>NC_000012.12:73672249-73823764 GCF_000001405.40 Homo sapiens | reverse complement strand
TTTCTATAAATAAAGCCACTGGCTAGCCTATTGCTCAAAAACCTAGACGTTATGTTTAATTCTCTAACTTTCCTTAGGCCAGCAGGCAAGTTATAGCCTGGTCTTCTTATGATGATAACAGTGGTGGAAGAGAAAAAGTGAAAATCTGTGATGTTTCTTTAAAGCCAGACTTGAAATCAGCACTCTGTTACTTCTGCCGACATATCATTAACCAAAAGCAGCTTAAAAGACAAGACTACATCAAAGAGTAAAACTTTGAGCCAACAGTTTTATCCATCACACAATACGTCTGTCAATCACTAGTAAAACTCTAAGTTATTATTAGAGTTCTAAGAAATAACAAATGATGCTTTTTTAGTATAGGTTTTTAAGTGTGTAAAACATTTTCACATGCATTGTATAGTTATTGATAAAATTTGGATGTGTATACCTGCCAAAATCTGATATTGAAATGTAATGTCCAATGTTGGAGATGGGGAGTGGTGGGAGGTGATTGGATTATGGAGGTGTTTTTCTCATTAATGGTTTAGCTTCATCCCCTTTGGTACTGTTCTTGCAATGGTGAGTGAGTTCTCAGGTCATTTAAAAGTCTGTGTTACCTTCTGCCTCACCCTTTTGTTCCTGCTTTCACTATGTGATATGCCTGCTCCTCCTTCATCTTCTGTGATGATTGTAAATTTCCTTTTTTTTTTTTTTTTTTTTTTTTTTTTGAGACAGAGTCTCGCTCTGTCGCCCAGATTGGAGTGTGGTGGCACGATCTTGGCTCACTGCAAACTCCGCCTCCTAGGTTCATGCCATTCTCCTGCCTCAGCCTCCCAAGTTAGCTGGGACTACAGGCACCTGCCACCACACCCAGCTAATTTTTTTGTATTTTTAGTAGACATGGGGTTTCACCATGTTAGCCAGGATGGTCTCGATCTCCTGACCTCGTGATCCACCCGCCTCGGCCTCCCAAAGTGCTGGGATTACAGGCGTGAGCCACTGTGCCCAGCCTGATTGTAAATTTCCTGAGGTCTCTCTAGAAGCTGAGCAGATGCCAGAGTCATACTTCCTGTACAGTCTGCAGAACCATGAGCCAATTACACCTTTTTTAAAAATAAGTTACCCCGTCTCAAGTATTTATAGCAACGCAAGAACAACTAATATGATTTGGCTTTGTGTCCCCACCTGATCTCATCTTGCAGTGTAATCCCCATGTGCTGAGGGAGGGACCTGGTGGGAAGTGATTGGATCATGGGAGAGGTTTCCTCCATGCTGTTCTCATGATAGCCAGGGAGATCTCATGAGATATGATGGTTTAAAACGGGCACCTCTCCCTGCACTCTCTCTCTCTCCTGCCACCAAGTAAGATGTGCCTTTTTTCCCCTTCACCTTCCATCATGATTGTAAGTTTCTTGAGGCTTCCCTAGTCATTCAGAACTGTAAGCAAATTAAAGC
The DNA here is from genome assembly GCF_000001405.40 of Homo sapiens. NCBI lineage: Eukaryota > Metazoa > Chordata > Mammalia > Primates > Hominidae > Homo > Homo sapiens. The sequence goes on along the minus strand of NC_000012.12, from coordinate 73,822,327 downwards.
TATTTTTTTATAGGTTACCCAGTCTCAGGTGGTATCTTTATAGCAGTGTGAAAAGGAACTAATACAAAGAACTGGTACCAGTAGCGTGGGGTACTGATATAAAGATGACCTAAAACTGTGGAAGCAACTTTCGTACTGGGTAACAGGCAGAGGCTGGAACAGTTTGGAGTGCTCAGAAGACAGGAAGATGTGGGAAACTTTGGAGCTTCCTAGAGACTTGTTTAATGGGTTTGGCCAAAATACTGAGAGTAATATGGACAATGAAGTCCAGGCTGTGGTGGTCTCAAATGAAGATGATAAACTTATTTAGAACTGGAGCAAAGGCTATACTTGCTATGCTTTAGCAAAGAGGCTGGCAGGATTTTGCCCCGCCCTAGAGATCAGTGGAACTTTGAATTTTAGAGGGATGATTTAGGGTATGTGGCAGGAGAAATTTCTAAGCAGCAAAGCATTCGAGAGGTGACCTGGATTTTTCTGAAAGTGTACAGTCATGTGTTCACAAAGAGAAGATTTGAAATTAGAACTTATGTTTAAAAGGGAAGCAGAGCATAAATGTTTGCAAAATTTGTAGCCTGACCATGCAGTAGAAAAGAAAAACCCATTTTCTGGGGGAAAAAAAAATCTAAGCCTGCTGCAGAAGTTTACATTAGTAATGAGGAACCGAATATTAATTGCCAAGACAATGGGAAAAATGTCTCCAGGACTTGTCAGAGATCTTTGTGGCAGCTCCTCCAATCACAAACCTCAAGGCCTAGAAGGGAAAAATGGTTTTGTGAGACAAAGTGCAACTCAGGCCATGGCTTCACAGGGTGCAACCCCCAAGCTTTGGCAGCTTCTACATGGTGTTGGCCCTGTGGGTATGCAGAAGACAAAAGTTGAGCTTTGGGAACCTCCACCTAGATTTCAGAGGATGTATAGAAATGCCTGGATATCCAAACAGAAGTCAGCTGTAGGAGTGGAGCCCTCATGGAGAACCACTACGAGGGCAAGAGGGGAAATGTGGGGTTGGAGCCCCAACACAGATTCCTCACTGAAGCACTGCCTAGTGGAGCTGTGAGAAGAGGGCCACCATCCTCTGGATCCCAGAATGGTAGATCCACCAACAGCTTGTACCATGTACCTGGGAAAGTCACAGACACTCGATGCCAGCTCATGAAAGCAGCTGTATGGGCTGTACCCTGCAGAACCACAGGGGCAGAGCTGCTCGAGGCCTTGGGAGCCAATCCCTTGCATCATTGTGCCCTGGATGTCAGACATGCAGTCAAAAGAGATCATTTTGGAGCTTAAGATTTAATTACTGCTCTGCTGGATTTCAGACTCGCATGGGGCCTGTAGCCTCTTTATTTTGGCCAATTTCTGTCATTTGGATCAGGAACATTTACTGAATGCATGTATCCCCACTGTATTTTTGAAGTAACTAATTTTTTTTTTTTATTTTATAGACTCTTAGGTGGAAGGGACTTGCCTTGTATTAGATGAGACTTTGGACTTGAATTTCTAAGTAAATTCTGGAATGAGGTAAGACTTTGGGGGATTGTTGGTGAAGGCATGATTGTGTTTTGAAATGTGAGAAGAACATGTGATTTAGGAGGGGCCAGGGGATGGATGACATGATTTGGCTCTGTGTCCCCATCAAAATTTAACGTCAAATTGTAATCTTCATGTGTTGAAGGAGGGGCCTGGTGGGAGGTGATTGAATCATGGGGGCAAACTTCCCCCTTGCTGTTTTTGGGATAGTGAGCGAGTACTCATGAGATCTGATGGTTTAAAAGTGGCACTTTCCCTTGTGCTCTCTCTCTCCTGCCACCATGTAAGATGTACCTTGTTTCCCCTTCACCTTGTACCATGATTGTAAATTTCTTGAAGCCTCCCAAGCCATGTGGAACTATGAGTCAATTAAACCATTTTTTTGTTTGTAAATTACCTAGTCTCAGGTAGTATCTTTATAGCAGTGTGAAAATGGGCTAATACAACAGCCCAATATAGTTATCTGTATTATCCCATTTGATCCTCAAGGGAACACTGTATAACGTGCATATTTTTATCATTTTACAAATCAAGAGTTAATGGATCAAAATGTAAAATATCTTTTCCTAAATTACTCAATTATATTTGAAAAGTTCCTGGAATTTACTACTCTTCTTTACATTCTAACCATGTCCTCCCTTTTGCTTTCTTTACTGTATCATATTTCTCCATAACTGATTAAAACAAAACAAAACAAACTTTGGAATACAATATTTTATAAATTGTCTATGTATAAACTAACAGTTTTATACTTAGTGACAAATATGTATCTATGTTACCAATAAAACTTCACTTAATAAATGTCAGGGTGATTCTTATAGTCAGCTGTGATAGATGATGCTGCTACTATTGCATGCAAATTATTTAGTGAGATCACTGCCAAATCAACGTTCTTTCCAATGTATCATTTAGGAAGTCTGAAACAGATTACAAAATAAAGTATCTATGCTTTTAGAGTGTTATCATTATGATACTTGTGTCTAGAAGTTAGATAGTATAATGGGATTTAAAAAAAATTGTAGTCAAAATAGTGAAAAAAAGATTAAGCTTTTGGTCACAAAACAGAATTCTGTCCTTGTTCTGTTTCTTAGCTATTGATGAGCAAAATGTACTGGGCTTCTTTTAGTATACAGATTTTGGCTGTCTGAGGAAGGTATAGAATTTTTAAATAAAGAACATTATTTTTACATGTAGTAAGAAAATAGGAAGATTTGTTATTTTAAATCACAAAAAATAGCCTTATTCATTCTTAAATCTGTAGCATTATGAAGAGAGGAGGCATACACACACTAAGTGCCCCAATCATTTTTCTTCCTGCTTTTCACCTGAGCTTTTAATCTCAGTCCAGCTACACAGGCTACTAAAAGGGTCAACCAGGACCTAGGAGTAGCTAGCAACTGTGGCTAGAGACACACAATCAGAGGTTTAAAACGTTTCTCTCCCTAGTGTTGAAGGCAAAATTCAAGTCACCATGCCATAGCCATAGCTGTGCTCCAGGGTGCAATTAATAAGCAAAAGTCACTTGAAAACTCTAACTGTAGGGAAATCCATCATTTGAAGATCAGTTGTGTTCTGTTTTGCATTATTTTCACAATACCTAGCAAGTGTTTGAAACCTGGTAACCAATCATAAATATTTAATGAATTAAATCAATTAACTTGTGTGAAGTTTTCACAAGGAATAAGGAATGAAAACAAATTTAGTGGAAATTATCAGTTATATATTTTGTGAAATAAAAAATAAAGAGGAAAATAATATTTTAATATAAAGTTTCAAAATTTTTGTAAGTTATTATCTTAGTCTATCTGGGCTGCTATAAAAATATACCATAAACTTGGTAGCGTTTAAGCAACAGAAATGAATTTCTCATTCTTCTGGAGGCTGAGAAGTTCAAAATTAAGGCACCAGAAAATTCATTGTTTGATGAGAGCCAGTGTCCTGGTTCATAGATGGCACCATCTAACCATGTCCTCACATCCTGGACTAAGCAATTTGTCTCTCTCAGGCCTCTTTTATGAGGGTGCTAATGCTATTCACTGGGACTGTACCCTCATGACTAAATCAACTTTCAAAGGCCCCACCTCCTAAAGTCATATTATCACTTCAGGGGCAAAAATTTTAACATATGAATTCAGGAGGAGCACAGATAATCAGACCTTAGCAGTTATCATGGATTACTTAGAAAGTGAAAAGAAAAATAAAATTCTTAAATAAACAAAATAAATAAATGGTTTACATGTAAGGGAAAACATGATTACTTGTGGACTTGGGAAAAGATACAAAATATAAAGCTCAGGGAGCAGGGCTGTATAAAATGACTCTAGCTGGAAAAAAAAAGAAAACCTAGAAGAAAAAAACCAGATATGTTTTATAACAAAATCAAAAATAAAGAAAAATGTCTGCAAAGCAAACAATTTTGAGAGTTGAGTCAATCCATAAAAAAATGGGAAGAAGTTGAAAGAAACATCAGCTTTTCAAATGAAGATATATTTGGGTCCCTATGATTCACATTTTACACAGATAAAATATGTAGTTGATAAAAAGAGCTGAGTTCTTAGTGTCTGAAAACCTAGGTTCAGATACTATCTTTGACATTGCCTGATTTAATAATTTATGACACATAATTTAAAAATCAAGAGCTAGATTTTTCTCATATATAAAATAAGTATAAAAAATTATATGACTTTTACACAAGAATACATAAATATAAATTTTTACATGACTACAAATACCTTCAAATCCATTATCTCATTTGCAAATTACTTAAGATTGTAATCTTCAAGTATATATTAACTTCCACATTTTCAAAGAATGAAGATGAGGGCTATTTAAATAAGTGGTACTGGAATTGGAAGAAAATTCCAATTTCAATTCATTGTCAGTGGTTTCTGAATATATTTGCAATAGAATCTAAGCTCCTTACCTAGCTTACAAATACGTATAATATCAGATCACAGTCTTCTCTATTTTTCAATTTATAATGTTTTTCCTTCTTACTTACTATCCTCTAGGAAAGATAGTCTTCTCTATGGATCCAAATTTTGCCAATTTTATTCCTGCCTGCAATTTCTTCTAACTTTGCATGGTTAATTCCTGGTCATTTAGATTTGATTTCTTCCTTAAGTACCTGATCTAAAGTAGCATCTACGAAGTCTATCAAATCCCCTTACTTTAATCCTTTGTAGAATACTCATCACCATCTGATAATTCCTTGGGTCTTCATTTCTTTCTTATGTGTTGTTAACCTCACTCTAGAAATAATCTCCATGACTGCAACAAACTTGACTTTGTTGTTCATGCCTGTTCTCAGCATCTAGAATGGTGTCTGGCAAAGAGTTGGTTTTCAACATATGCTTGTTAAATAACCATATAAAACTTACAATGTGAACACACTTTTTTTGGTGTTGGGAAATAGAGTTTCAGACAGGTACACTACCTTACGCAATAATACACAGCCAGTATCCTGGGTCTGAGTTCCATTGATTCTCTACTTTTCCATGCTAATTAGCACTACTTTATCTTTCTCACTAGTTTTATGACCACAATTCACAATTCTATGTTCGAGCTTACTGCAAGTAGCATAAATCTATTCTATTTCTATAAAGTTGAGAAATATTTTGAGAGTTCTAGAACAAGAGCAGGCATCCTGCCAACCAAATAAAAGGAAATGTTGGCAAGTTGATGAGGATCAATTGTTCCCTCAAGTAATAGAAGCAAAAAAACAAAAAGTATACATATAAAAGAAATATTTTTAGTCAGAAGAATCATAAAGGTACCTAAAACTCCAGATGGGAAAGTGACATTAGAAGGAGTTAGATCAAAAGGCTTATTGATTTTTACAATTCCAAAGTGTTGTTTCTAGTAGTTTCAACACAAGCATGAAAAAGTGAACCAAGAACGGTCACAGTTTCTGATGGATATTTAAAAGCAAGATATTGACTAAAAAGGTTAAGAAAAACAGTCATTTCTCATGTTAGAAAGAACCAAAAATATTACTTAATCCACTCACTTTGATTATGAAGAGGAAAGAAAGGTTTCTAATTGTAAAAACATTTTAAGTTAAATCTGATAAGAGTATCTAACATTTTCATAATATTTAATAGCTTATAAAACCAATTAATACTCATTCTCACAATTAATACTAAATCTTTTGCAATGTGTATTTTTAGTTCTTTTTTAAAAAGATAATAGTACTGGTTTCAGATCTAACATATTAAGAATTTGGAAGTCATTACTCCTGTCTTCAAAACAAAAAAAGCTGGACAAATAAAATGTCAATAACTTTTTTTGAACCCATCAGAGAACTGAGGTCACAAAGCAAATGGCTACCATAAAATCCGGAGAGACAGACACATCCAGAGAGATGAAAGGTCCATGATTTGCTTACTTAAAGTAGAAGCTGCTGAATACCATAAGATGGTAGGAAGAGTAAGATTACTTAATTAGTAATATTGACTAGTTCTTAGAGGGTGAGTGGGGACTAGCATGGGATTAAGCATATACTCTGGCAATAATCATAGTGGGGACCCACATTCTTATTAACTTTCCTCCAGGAACTTCACAAGGTTTTCATGTCCATAATTCAAAAAGGATACTCCTTGTGGCTGTAACAGTGGGAGGAAAAGAGTAATCACTATGAAACCCTCATAGATCCTTCTCCCTAACAAAAGCCTAGTCTCTAGGGAAAAAGATGTCACTAGTGGGCAGTACTGAAACCTTATCCCAGCTAGAGTAAGGGAACATTGTCTCACTCTAGCCTGCCACGGTCTTCCTGTCTCACCCAAGGGGGAAAATAAAAATCCATAGTCAACATGAAAGATGGATTTAAATAACTAGACTGGGAATACTGCAACTAAGGACGGAGAGAATGTGAAGGAAAAAAGAGAGAGAGAGAGAGAGAGAGAGAGATCCCTTTAGAAAACAAAAAACAGAAATACTCGCAAAAGCCACACTCTTGAGACGCAGGCCTATAAGAGACTTGATGTAATCAGAAGATTATAGAACACTCCTTCCCATACTTTAGCATCATGCTGAGACAGAGTAGAGATGTACTCACGTCCCCCACAACAGCATTTTTTCGTAAATTTCCACTGATCACAAAACCCACTCCACTACCCCACTGCTAATAATCCTTTTACTTAAAGAATTACAGGAACTGGAATTTAGGAGATAACCAGGGTTGTGGAGTCCCCCACCTCAAGAAGGAATACTACACAATTCATTTACAGCCTTGTTGCCCCCGTCAGACCACCAGACGGCCCATTACTCAAGATAAGCATTGAAACCAGATAATGCAGCTCTGCATACCCTACCCCTCATAGCCCAGCCAGGCTGCCCAGCCCAGTTTGCATACCATACTCTTGATGTCAATTCCCAGACTTTGCCTAATAAAAAAGCTCTACAAGCTCTTTTTGGAAAGTCAGTCAAGGGATTATCCTCTTTCATGTGCTTCCTCCCTTATGCCTGGGCATAAACTCCAATGAAAACTGTTTTGGCCTCATGTCAATTTCTATTGCATTGAGAACTCAGGAACTCAGGAACCTGTGGTGGGTAACAACACTGCATAATAGCAGTAGATTACAGAGGAAATGGCTGTAAGACACAGACGCTCTCAGAGAAGCAGTACAAAGCAAAGCCCAAAACCAAGAAGGGAGACAAAAATAAGGACACTAGAGGAACTTGAAATATTTGTTACATATAACTATAATAAACGTTAGATGCATCCCCAACTCCTAACCAGATTAACATAAACCCTCACACTATAGATCTATTACCCAGTTCCTACTACCAATACAACTTTCACCCCCCAAAAAATTGTAAAAGATGTAAAAAGGCAAGAAAAAACACAGTCTGAGGAGACAAAGCAATCATCAGAACCAGATTTACATATGACACATAAGTTGTAATTATCAGACATGGAATTAAAAATAATTATGGTTTATATTCTAATCTCTAATAAAAAAGTAGACAGAATGCAATATTATTAAGATAATATAAGCAGAAAGTTGGAAGCTAAGATAACTAAGGAAAATTTTGTAAACCAAAAACAGCAACGGCAAAGAAAAATGCTTTTGACAGGTTCATCAGTAAACTTAACACAGTTGAGAAGGAATCAGAACGCTTGAAGATAGGTTAATAGAAACTTTACAAACTAAGCCAGGTGCAGTAGCTCATGCCTGTAGATGCCTATAATTCCAGTACTTTGGGAGGCCAAGGCAGGAAGATGGCTTGAGCCCAGGAGTTTGAGACCAGCCTGGGAAACATAGCAGGACCCTGACTCTATAAAAAATACAAAAAATAGTGGGACGTGGAGGCATGCACCAGCAGTCCCAGCTACTCTGGAGGGTAAGGCAGGAGGATCACCTGAGCTTGAAGAGGTTGAGGCTGCAGTGAGTCATGATCGTGCCACTGCACTCCAGCCTGCATGACAGAGTGAGACCCTGTCTCAAAAATAAGAAAAAGGAAGAAACTTTCCTAAGTGAAACACAAAGGAAAAAAATATGTATCTTTAGGGAAGTTAAGTAACCTTAATATTCTCATCTGGCTAGATGCAGTTGCTCCTGCCTGTAATCATAACATTTTGGGAGGCCAAGGTGGGGGATCTTTTGAGCCCATGAGTCTGAGACTAGCCTGGGTCACACAGTGAGATCCCATCTTTACAAAAAAAAAAAAAGCTAGTATTTAAACTCAGTATCTCAGCATCCAAATTTTACCACCTACTTCTACCTTTAGTTATCTTATTCTATTGTGGTAGGGATACCATTGTCTATCAAAAATAAACATAATGGAACGTGAGTTTTTAAAATAATTTTCCTGAAAATTTAGTAATAATCCATAATGTAAAGATAAATATACTTATTTGGAGGAGGAGAAGAAAGGAGAGAAAGTAAATACATACCATTAAATATATAACAAGCAAAAAAAAATTATAGCAGTTGAAATTCTCATTTCTGTAACATGTCACAAAGTCATAGTTTATATTTATCTTTTTCTTCTTCTATTATTCATGACCTCAGTCCAAACTTCACCTGTTCTGGGTCTTAATGGAGTGATTTATGTCTTCATTTTTACTGTGTTGAATACTGAGTCATCTTAAGTTTTTATCCCACTTTCAATACTTGATATAGAAGTAATAAGAGATGCCAAAAAAAAAACACATGAATTTCAAACCTTGTTTATCTCTTTCCCACTTTGTAGCAGCAAGCCCAGTATTCTTTTGATAGTTAGAAGCAGTTATCCCAGCCAGTAGCCTAACCTCCCTATGTGTTTGTTCAATGTCATGGGGCATCTACCATGTCCAGGAGGCAGTTTAAACTTCCAATTAAATGTAATCATTGTATATCCATAGGCAAAATCATATTTCCTTTGAAAACTAAAATCTTCAAACCCACATAGCTTAAAATTTTTTGAATCTTAAGGAAGAATCGTTTGAGTGGATTATTAGCTTTAGAATAACAAAAGTATTCCCACTAGCATGCCTTGGTTTCCAGAGTTGATAGTCTCACTATGGAAGAAATATCCCTATATGTTGAACACTGATTCAAATAAAAGTATGATGCCCTTTCTTGAAGGATAGGATTCCATCCAATCTGAATGTTGTCTCCTACATGATATCATAGTTGATTATTCAGAGTATGATTCTAAAATTCTTCAAGATGAGCTGCTCTGTAAGAAATATTGTTTCAGTGAATTTCATGGAATGAGTCCATTGTATATTTTATTTTGCTATGAAATGAATTATTTGACCAGAAACAATGTTACAGAGAATACCATAATGGTAAATAAGACATTCTAACTCTACAGATGGTAGTACTAGAAGGAGAAATATGAGCTGTAAAATTAAATCCATACTCAAAAACTATTTATTCCAATGAGAACAAATTATTGCTTCTTCCATTGTGGAAGGATTCCAATGTAATCAGTGTGCCAGTGAGTGGAAGCCTAGTTCCTTCAGAGAATGAAGCCATATCAGGAGCTCAGAATGAGACTATGGAGCCTTTTTAAAAGGAAACCTATGTTCTTGAGCCCATGCATAACCTCCATCTGTGTCATTATTAACATTTTGTATATAAGACTACAGAGCAAGCACTAAGATGTCCAGGAGTAAGATGATTAACTGATATACACAGAATGTATCATATTGTCTATCTAATCAGTGAAAGTCTAGTCTGCAATGGATGGCTTTTGGTGGGCACTCTGGATCCAAAATGTAAATATCTATCCCTTTTGTTTCTATTCTGAGAGGTTCTTCCACATATCTCTTCCCATGACCATTTTGACACTAAATTTCCAACCCTGCTGGTTTCAAACCTCTAGCCATGTAGGAAACCCATTAGCTGTTGTTCATAAATCAATGTATATTCACATTTCTAGTCATCTCTCAAATAACAAATTGGGCAATAAAATGCACTGTTTGAAGATATGTTTAGTAGAAAGAGTTCTTTCATCTCTTTCTTTCAAAAATACTTCTTAATGGAATTGTACTGCTGCAGAAGTACACTTCCAGTTGGTATCATGTGGATCCATCTGAAAACTAGCAGTCATAATGATCTTTCTATCAGACTGTAAGTATGAATTGAGGGAGAGAATGAAATGTAATAATAGCAGATGAAAAAGGAACATAATCTAGTTACTCATGTAACTTATTTGTGTTCAGACCGGCTTCAGCCCAGTCTCTTAACCACTGTGTACACTTGAAAAAATATAGATGCTACACATGCCTAACATTATGGTTTGAAGGGAAAGGGATACCCAATTCATGAGGGGCAACACACGTGGTATGGTCATTGGAGGCCCCATGACATTCTGTCTCTACCACGGTCTCTAAGTAGCCAGAAGCTGTTTTCCAAAAGTGAAATAATTATCTCCAGAGGAATGAATGGATTCATACTAGAATCTTAGATGTCTGAACTGTGATTCCTCTATGGAGGCTCTCCAGAGGCTTCATAAACATCTTTATCAATGAGCACAACTCAAACTGCTGTTTGTACTAAACTATAAACCAATTTGCTGCTTAATTGAGAAACATATATATTAAACAATGCTCTTAGTGATATGGTTATTTGCCTAATGTTGCATGTTCCTATCTTACTATTGAGACTGTGAGAGGTTATGAATAATACTTGGTGTGGCACTATCATAGAGAATTTTAACATCAAATCCTCCGGCTTGTAAAAGCCCAAGCAGTAGAATCAGACTGTAGTCTGAGATACCTGCAGAGATTCCCTTGATCTGCATCTGGTACCTACACAAAACCAGCAGCTTTATGGTTTTCTCAGTTAGTGAGTTAGCATAGTGCACTCATATGTAGTATATGCTGTCATTACAATACCAAATATCCTAGGAGTTTCATGTCTCTCTTTTAGTGGTGGACAGTAAACAGTAAAGTAACTTCTTTTTTTATTTTACTTTAAGTCCTGGGATACATGTGCTGAATGTGCAAGTTTGTTACATAGGTATACATGTGCCATGGTGGTTTGCTGCACTTATCAACCCACCATCTAGGTTTTAAGCCCAGTATACATTAGGTATTTGTCCTAATCCTCTCCCAACTTTAAAGTAGCTTCTTTACCTTGGAGAGAATGTACAGACATGCTTACATCATTGATGTATACCTCTCTCCCCTTCAATATAGCAGGCTCCCGAGATTCTCTGGGCATTTTATCCAAACTCTTAGCTTACCTGAGTCTTATAAAGCTAACTTAAGTACTTGTTATTTCCTTGTCATCAGATTCAAAATTAATTTAATGTCATTTATTTAGGGCTCAGTGTGAGTTCTGTTATATGAAAACAATAAGGTATTTGAGGAATATATTAGGGAAGAAAGAAAGATAGTTGCTATATCCCTAAGACAAAGTTTTGAATGTGTTGTTTTATCCCTACTAGGCAAAAACAAAGAACTTCTCATTATCCTTGAAAATTGGTATAAAGAAGATAGAGTTGTCAAGTCAATAGTTGCTTGCCAGGTGTCAGGAACTGTCTCGAATGTTTCAGGAAAGATGCTAAACTTAATGAGGTTAACTAACCTCCTGATTATATTTAATATAATCCACAGTCAATTACGAAGATCCCTCAGCCTGCTCCAAAGACCAAACAGGGACTGTAATAGGGAGGTGATGTCCACAATGACTGTATCTTCAAAGTCTTTGATAGAGGCACTCATCTCTCCCCCACCACTGCCAAGGGTGTGTTAATGTTTTACTGTTTCAGGTTTACTATACTCCTAGAGAAAGAGCTTCCATTTGCCCTTCCTAACAAAAACACCCTGTAGCCACATATCAGAGAGCAATTTTTATGGGTTTTATCAATGCTGAACAAGTCCACAGAAATACCTGGGCTCTGCAATATGAACTTGAGACAAAAATTATATTTGTCACTTGACAAGCATAATCGTCTCCTTTAGCTAGTGGAACAAAGTGGTCTTTTAAGTCCTAAGGAATTCAGTTCAATGCCGGTGTACCAAGTTTGTAAATTGGCTGAGGTCTGGAAACCTAACATTTGACTAAAATTTGAACTCAATGGTGAAAATATATAACTTCATTTTTCTAATTTTAGTCAGTTTTCTGGTCACCAGGTCTGGAGATATTCCTAGTATCTAGATCAAGTAACATTGCAATAGGCTGTTAAACAGTTTTATCCTAGGTACACATTACTCAGCAAGCCATTGCCAGTTATCCCTGAAGATCAGAACATTCTGATTACACATTATCTCTATCATCCTCTTTAGTAAATGGGCCTACCGTGTCTCTAGTATTTGCATCATGCCTCTTGGCATCTGCTACACCAGGATCCCATGATTTCCTTTGAAACCAGAGAACCTGTCTCAATTACATCACGTATGGAAGACATCTATCACAGATATTTTTGGGGAAACTAGCACTGCCCTCTACAATGTATCTCTCAATATCTTGCTGAATAAAGTTTCTTTTTAAAATACCTTTGAGGAATGGGTACTGGTAACACATTATAAAGCTGATCTAACATTCATATGTCCCTAATACTTTGGATTCTTTATTTTGCTTTAGACAACAACAATTTTGTCATTGCAAATCATTGAACACACTGACCACCATTTAGTCCAAATTTTTGTCAATCAAAGAGTAATATATGAAAGCTACTTTAAGCTAAGTTAAACACACTAAATCCAGCATGAAAGGTAAACTCACTTTTGTGTATAAATTTGTCCTGGTACTCTGAGGTACTCTGTTATCTTTATATTGAGAAACTTAGAATCCATTTGCATGCATATTTCTTAGGTTTCTGCTAAAATAATAAATAAAATTATAAATTAGCAAAACTTTACAGTTTTTGTGAAGTGAAAGCTGTTTCCTCCCATGTATATTTTACTTCTATCCTGGAGTATGTTAAGATATAACCATAGTTATATACTTGGAGGCAACAACAGTGTGTTGGGGTTTGTTTGCTGTTTTTGAGGATAGTAAGCATGACCTCACAAGACCTTTGTCACCAGATGAGGATATTATGGAGTTTTTAAGCAAGGGACATTTGCCTCCTCAGACTTGAGAGAGAACAAGTTGCTTCTGCTTACAAAGAAGGCTCAGTGCAACTAAAGTTTTCAACATTCTCAGCTTCATTTTAGTCCACACAAATGTTATCATTCTATGTCTCAAGGTCATAATTCCTCCCAATTAATTACCCCTGAGTTTCACATGAGAGAATTGACAAGGTTTGGAATTCAACTTATATTGTAATTCTGCAACCCACACAATTGAAGTTTACGTATGTGATTAAGTAATATCAGCTCTATGAATACGAGACAGAAATTACAGAAAGCAACTAGCGCCCCAAAGACTGGAGAAAAATAAGGAAAGAAGTTGTAACTATTGAAAACTAGAGTAGATAGGGGTTCCTTGGAGATGGGATCCAGTTTTCTAAAGAAAAGATGCTATGTAGATGATGCCTCAGGAGTTTAGGGGAGGATTCTTTGATTCTGGTTCTTGAAAAAGAATTAAAAGAGAAATTATAAAATTCTTAGAGTCAAATGGCAATAAAAAACCTCTATAAGAATATATCAAATGTACCTAAAGTGGTGTTTTGTTAAGAATGTATAGTTTTACATGTTTTGTCAGAAAACAAGATCTGTATGAGCTAAACTTTGAAGCCAAGAAGCTAGTAAATCAATAACAGAACAATCCAAAAGAAGAAAGGATTAAGAAAAGAATCAAGTCAAGGGAAGAAATTAATTATATAAAGATACTGAAAGAAAGGAATATATTTTTAACAGAAATTTAAGAGACAACCCTAATTTAAAAAGAAAGAGTAAAACCAAGATGGAGAGAAAAGAGAGAATTAAATAGTAGTCAAAAATAATCTTTGGGAAAGCAAAGAAATTCTCCAGTTAAATTAATTGTACAGTGAATATATAGGACTTATCAAGAATCACAATAAGACATGCAACCTACTGAATGTTAAAATATTTCTACAATGAATTTTAAATTTTTACACTTTTAATGATCAATGAGAGCTAATTGAATGGATTTAAATACATATATTAAAGTATTATAGAATAAAAAGTAGGTCTTCTCAAGAGTAATGAAATTATGAAGTAAGGATGAATGGGCCAAAAACACACAAAGATAAAATGTATAAAATGGCCAATGCAGATAAAAGTTACAAATTGAAGAATGTGATAGATGATATTATTCAATTCAGCATTGTGTTAGTCCAATTTGAAAAAAAAAAACCAAGACACAAAAGTCATTACACTTTTCAACATACCAGAGGTAGCAGACATGTATAATAAAACTGTGAGGATAGCAAATTAGAATAGCTAACTTTTATTCATTGTTATGTGCATGAGACTGTCCTATTCACTTCCTTTCTAGTCATTTGCTTAACCTCTCGAGGCAGATATTATTATCTAAGTTTTCAGAGAAGAAAATTTGAACAGAATGATTAAGTAACCTGTTACATATTATACATCAGAGAAGTGTCAAAAGTAGGTGTCAAGCCTGGGAAATTTGATTTGAGATCCTAAGTTTTAAGCATTTCTGCTACAGCTTTGGTGGTTATGAGGGTATGCCTGTTGAGTTAGATGAAACTTTTTAATAGAAAAAAAAATGAACTTGGTTTTTCATTGTCTCCATTCTTACTTCTTTTATAATTACAGAGTTAGGCTTAGAGAAAACCAAAAAAGTGTCTTTAAACATATTAATAACAGGTTATATAAAAGGAAAAAATCAAGTGGAGATCTTTCCTCTTTATCATCAAACACAGCAGCTTGTTTTTTTCATGCTGATTGAATTGGTGCTTGTTTACATAAAGTGTGACCATTTTACACATTTTCAACTTCTATTTCAGAGAAGTGAGCATAAAAATGCTGACATAATCTTTTCATTTTTATTATTTTTTAAATTTTAAAATATACTATTTTGTGACAGGTCAACACTAGAGGTTATAGAACAAGATTCAACAAAATAATAAAATGAACTAGATACAATTTCAGTGGCCTTGTGAGGCTTTTCAGAATAAAGGTTAACCACCAAATCCCATTTATACTCATTACCTTCATCATCTTCTGTTAAGACAAGCCCACAATCTGCTTTCTTCCCTTCTTCACTGCCCTAAAGTTATTGCTAGTACTAAATTTTCTATTTCTTTTCTCCTCTCATTGTTATGACTTTAAGGTACAGAAAGGGGTTGATCTACCTCTTTCAACACCCTAGAAAATTATAATAACAGGCTTCAACAACCTATGATACCAAGCAGAAGAAAGAATACCTGGACTTGAAGACAGGTCTTTTGAAATAAAACAGGCAGATAAAAATTTAAAAAGAAAAAATAAAGGAAAAACAAAATAAATGAAGAAAGCTACGAAAATTGTGGGACACCATTAAACATATATTTGTATTATGGACATTCTAGAAGAGAAGAGAAGGGAAAAGGTATAGAAAATATTTAATAAAATAATAACTGTCTGGGCATAGTGGCTCATGCTTGTAATCCCTGCACTTTGGGTAGCCGAGGTGGGTGGATCACCTGAGGTCAAGAGTTTGAGACCAGCCTGGCCATCATGGTGAAACCTTGTCTCTACTAAAAATACAAAAATTAACCAGGTATGGTGGCTGTTGCCTGTAATCCCTGCTATTTGCGAGGTTGAGGCAGGAGAATCACTTGAACCCAGGAGGTGGAGGCTGCAGTTAGCCAACATCATGCCATTTTGCTCCAGCCTGGGCAACAGAGCAAAAATTCCATCTCAAATAATAATAATAATTATAATAATAATAACTGAGTAGTTTCCAAGTTTTATGAGGGAGATGGGCATCTTTGTCCGGGAAGCACAAAGAACTCCCAATAGATTCAACAAAACAATTCCTTTCCAAGGCACATTATAGTCAGGTTGTCAAAAGTCAAAGACAAAAACAGAATTTTAAAAGCAGCAAGAGGAAAGCAGCAAGTCACATATAAAGAAATCCCCATTATATTAACAGCAGATTTCTCAGCAAAAACCTTACATGCCAGGTGAAAAATGGGATGATATACAAAGTACTGAAAGAAAAATAAAAAAAAAATACTGTCAGCCAGGAATATTATACTCAGCAAAGTTATCTTTCAGAAATGAAACAGAAATAATACCATTCACAGGCAAAAAAAGCACTAAGGGAATTCATTCCCACTAGAACAGGCTTCCAAGTTATGCTCAAGGGAGTCCTACATCAGAAAGTGAAAACACAATAACTTCCATCATGAAAACATTTAAAACTATAAAACTCACTGTTAGAGCTGATGCACTAGGGAGAAAGAGAAAGAAGTTGAGCTTATTACTACAGAAAACCACCCAACTTCGAAAACAAATACCAAAGATAAAGTAGCAAAAAAGGATCAAAACAACCAAAAAATGATTAATAAAATGACAGTCATAAGTCCTCATCTATCAATAATAATCTTGAATATACAAAGGTTAAATTTTCTATTTAAAATTTATAGACTGTCCAAATAGATTAAAATAAGACCCAACTATATACTGGCTATAAGCAACTCATCTCATCTATAAAGACACACATACACTAAAAGTGAAGGAATAGATAAATATATTTCATGAAAACAGGAACAAACAATGATCAGGAGTATCCACACTTCTATCAGACAAAACAGACTTCAAGTCAAAATTGGTAAAAAGAGACAAAGAAGAACATTATATATTACTAAAATGAACAACTATATGCCAATATATTTAAAAAACCTAGAGGAAATGGATAAACTCCTGGAAAGATAAAACTTACCAATATTGAACCAAGAAGAAATAGAAAAACCTGAACAGACCAGTAACTGGTAATGAGACTGATGTCTTCACTACTAAATTCTACCAAACATTTAAAGAATAATTGTTACCAATTATTCTCAAACTATGTCAAAAAACTGAAGCAGAGGGACTTCTTCCTAACTCAATACACTTGACTAGGATAACCCTGATATCAAAACCAAACAAGGATACAACTGAAAAAGAAAATTACACGCCAATATTTCTGATGAACATAGATGCAAAAATCAATTACATACTAACAAACTTTGTCCAAAAGCACATACAAGGATAATGCATCATGAACAAGTGGGTTTTATCCCAGGAATTCAAGAATGTTTCAACACAAACACATATCAATAAGTATCATACATCACATCAAAAAATGAAGGAGAAAAACCCATATAATAATCTCAATAGACAGAAAAAGCATGTGATAAAATTCAACATTCTTTCATAATAAAAGCTCTCAATAACTTAGGAACATACCTCAATACAATAAAGGCCATATATGGAAATCTAGTGCAAATATCATTCTGAATGGGTAAAAGCTGAAAGTATCTCATTTAAGAACTAGAATAAGGCAAGGATTCCCACTCTCTCCACTCTTATTCAACGAAGTACTGAAATTTCTACTGAGAGCATTAGCCAAAAGAAAGAAATAAAAGGCATCCAGATAGGAAAGAAGAAAGTCAAATTGTCCCTGTTTGTAGATGATGGGAGAGATAGAGTCTAAAGACTACAAAAATTTCATAGAAATAATGACAAATTCAGTGAAATTTGTTACAAAATTTGGACACAAAATCAACATGCAAAATTCAGTAGCATTTCTAAACAACAACAATGAATTAGCTGGAAAAGAAATGAAGAAAGCATTCCTACTTACACTTGGTACAAGGATAAAAATGCCTAGTAATAAATTTAATAAAGGGATTGAAAGATCTCTACCAGACGAACTACATTACACTGATGGAAATAATTGAAAAGGATACAAACAGATGAATATTATTTCATGTTCATGGGTTGAAATTAATATTATTAAAATGACCTTACTATTCAAAGCAATCTGTAGGTTCAATAGTTTCTATAAAAATAGCAATGACATTCCTCAATATGGAACCACAAAAGTCCTCAAATAGCCAAAGCAATTCTGAGAAAAATGAACCAAGCTGAAGGCATTACACTACCAGACTTCAAAGTATACTACATATTGTTTTGGCTAACGTTTTGTAAAAGCATTTATTTAGTTTATTTGTATGCCATTATCAAAACAGTATGGTAATGGCATAAAAATAAACACATAGGCCAATGGAACAGAATAAAATATCCAGAAACTAATCCAAATATCTATAGCCAATTGATTTCTGACAGTGATACCAAGAACACTCATTGGATAAAAGACAGTGTCTTCAATAAATGGTGCTATAAAAAAACTGGATATACTTATGCAGAAGAATAAAACTAGACCTCTATCTCTGTCCCTATACAAAAATCAACTGAAAATGAATCAAAGACCTAACTGTAAGACATGCAAATATAAAACAACTAGATGCAAACAGAGCAAATCCTTAGGACACTGGTTTGAAAAAGTATTTTATGAATAAGACCTCAAAAGCAGAGGCAAAAAAAGCAAAGATTGGCAAATATAATTGTATCAAACTCCAAAGCTTCTGCCCAGCAAAGATAACAGTCAACAGAGTGCAGAGACAACCTACAGAGGGCAGAGACAACCTACAGAATGGGATAAAAATATTTTCAAACATTCATCTGAGAGGGAATTAATATCCAGAATATAAAAGGAACTCAAACATCTCAACAACAACAAAAAACAATCAACTCAATTAAAAATTAGGCAAATGATCTGAACAGATCTTTCTCAAAAGAAGATATACAAATGACCAACAACTATATAAAAAATGCTCAACGTCACTAATCACTGGGGAAATGCAAATCAAAACTGCAATCAAATATTATCTCTCTCAAGTTAGGATGGCTACTATAAAAAAGACAAAAAGTACAAATGTTGGTAAGAATAGGGAATAGGGAGCACTTATACATTGTTGGAGGTAATGTTAACTATGGTAGCCACTATGGTGACTAGCATAGAGGTTCCTCAAAAACTACAAATAAAGCTACCATATGATTCAGCAATTCCACTACTGGGTATATATCCTAAGGAAAATAAATTATTATATTGATGCGACATCTGTACCTGCATGTTTATTGCAGCACTATTTGCAATAGCCAATAATATGGAATCAACCTAGGTGTGCAACAACCTGATTAATGGATAAAGAAAACATGATGTATACACACACACACACACACACACATATATATGTATCTCGTAATATATACATGGTAGTATATATATATTACCATGTAATACTATATATATATAACCATGTAATACTATATATATATATAACCATGTAATACTATATATATATTACCATGTAATACCATATATATATATATATATATATATACCAGGTAATACTATTCAACCAAAAGGAAGAATAAAATCCTGTCATTTGTAACAACACAGATGGAACTTGGAACTGGAGAACGTTATGTTATGTGAACTAAGCCATGAACAGAAAGTTAATCACCTTATCTTTTCACGCATATGTGAAAGCTAAAAAATATTAATCTCATAGAAGTAGAAAGTAGACAGAGGTTACTAGAAGCTGAGAAGAGTCAGGGGAAGGGCAGCATAGGGAGATACTTGTTAAAGGATACAAAATTACAGCTAGATAGGAGAAATAAGTTATAGTGTTTAATCACATGGTAGGATGAGTTTTATGGTCATAAACAGCTAGAAAGAAAATATTGAATATGTCTAACACAAAAAAATGAAATGTTTAAGATAACAGATATTTTAGTTACCCAAATCTGATCAATATGCATTATATATCAGTATACATTATGTATATGTATTGAATCATTACTGTGTACACCATAAATTGTACAATTATTATGTGTCTTTTTTAACTCTTTAGGTTAAAAAAAGCGTTTACTAAAAAAAAATTATAAAGAATGTGTCCTTTTTGTCTCTGCTTATGTATTAGTCTGTTCTCATGCTGCTATGAAGAAATACCCTAGACAGGGTAATTTATTAAAAAAAGAGGTTTAGTTAACTCAGTTCCACATAGCTGGGGAGGCCTCAGGAAACTTACAATTTTGGTTGAAGGCAACTCTTCACAGGGTGGCAGGAGATAATGAGTGCCAAGCAAAGGTGGAATTCCCTTATAAAACCATCAGATCTCATGAGAACTCACTCACCATAGAGAACAGCATGGGAGAATCTGCCTCCAAATTACCTCCACCTGGTCCCACCTTTGACACTGGGTATTATTACAATTCAAGGCAAGATTTGGGTGAGGATACAGAGCCAAACCATATCATTCCATCCTTGGACCCTTCCAAATCTCATGTCCTCAAATTCCAAAACACAATCATGCCCTTCCAACAGTCCTCCAAAGTCTTAACTCATTACAGCATTAACCCAAAATTCCAAATCCAAAGTCTCATCTAAGACAAGGCAAGTCCTTCCACCTATAAGCCTGTAAAATCAAAAGCAAGTTAGTTACTTCCTAGATACAATGGGGGTACAGGCATTGGAAAAGTACACCCATTGCAAATGAGAGATTGGACAAAACACAGGGGCTACAGGCCCCATGCAAGTCTGAAATCCAACAAGGTAGTCATTAAACCTTAAAGTTCCAAAATAATCTCTTTTGATTCCATGTCTCCCATCCAGGTCACGCTGATGCAAGAGGTGGGCTCCCACAGCCTTGGGCAGCTACACTGCTGTGTTTTTGCAGGATATAGCCCCCATCTTGGCTGCTTTCATGGGCTGGTTTTCAGTGTCTGTGGCTTTTCCAGTCTCATGATGCAAGTTGTTGGTAGAATACTATTCTGTGCTCTGGAAGATGGCAGCCCTCTTCTCACAGCTCTACTAGGCAGTGTCCCACTGGGGACTCTGTGTGGGGGCTCCATCCCCATATTTCCCTTCTCTACTGCCTTAGCAGAGGTTCTCCAAGAGGGCTGCACCCCTGCAGCAAACTTCTGCCTGGACATCCGTCATTTCCATACATCTTCTGAAATCTATGTGGAGGTTCCCAAACCTCAGTTCTTAACTTCTGTGCACCTGAAGGCCAAACACCATGTGGAAGCCACAAAGGCTTAGGACTTATACTCTCTGAAGCAATGACTAGAGCTGTACTTTGGCCCCTTTTAGCCACAGCTAGAGCTGAAGCAGCTGGGATGCAGGGCACCAGGTCCTGAGGCTGCATAGAACAGGCAGAACATGGGCTTAGTCCACAATGTTATTTTTTCCCTCCTAGGCCTCTGAGCCTGTGATGGAAGGGGATGACATGAAGGTCTCTGACATGCACTTGAGACATTTTCTCCATTGTCTTGGTGATTAACATCCAGTTCCTCATTACTTATGCAAATTTCTGCAGCAGGCTTGAATTTCTCCCCAGAAAATGGGCTTTTATCTTCTATTGCATCATTAGGCTGCAAATTTTCCAAACTTTTATGTTCTGCTTCCTCTTTAATCCTTTGCTGCTTAGGAATTTCTTCCGCCAGATACTCTAAATCATCTCTCTCAAGTTCAAAGTTCCACAGACTTCTAAGGCAGAGGCAAAAATGCCATCAGTCCCTTTGCATAGCAAGAGTGACCTTCACTCCAGTTCCCAACAAATACCTATCTGCATCTGAGACCATCCCAGCCTGGACTTCATTGTTTATATCACTATCATCATTTTGGTCAAAGCCAATCAACAAGTCTCTAGGAAGTCCAAACTTTCCCACATCTTTCTGTCTTCTTCTGAGTCTTTGAAACTGTTCCAACCTCTGCCTGTTACCCATTTCCAAAGTTGCTTCCACATTTTTGGTATCTTTATAGCAGCCGCCTACTCTCTGCAGTACCAGTATATTTTACTAGTCTGTTCTCATGCTGCTGTGAAGAAATATCTGAGACTGGGTAATTTATAAAGAAAAGAGGTTTAGTTGACTCAGTGCCACATAGCTGGGGAGGCCCCAGGAAACATACTCTTTTGGTAGAAGGCACCTCTTCACAGGGTGACAGGAGAGAGAAGGAGATGAATGAGGGAGAGAGAATGTGTGTTGAGTGAAGGAGGATGCTCCTTATAAAACTATAAAACTATCAGATCTTATGAGAACTCACTCACTATCATGAGAACAGCAGCATGGGGGAGACTGCCCCCTTGATTCAATTACCTCCACCTGGTCTCACCCTTGACATGTGGATATTATTACAATTCAAGGCAAGATTTGGGTGGGAACACAGAGCCAAACCATATCAAAAAAAAAGTGTCTTTTTTGACTATGCTTGCGTTTTCACCATTATTTTACATAAAAATTATATCCAGTGGTATCTCCTTAGGTTCGCAGTGAAGAAAACATTCAGGTATCTCTAAATATTTTGATATTTTAAAATGGAAATTAATAATCATATGTAAAGTGAGAATTCACATATTCTTTATAAAGTATTCAAATTGAAAATTTGTGGTTGATTGTCTTAAGAATAAAGAAGCTTAGAAAGCACATCACTTACTTGCTGTTTATTCTTTCTTAAGTAACCTGACTGAAGACTCTCTTTAATACATTTACTCTAGTTAGTGGAAGAAAAAGTACACATTACTGATGTATCTAGAGAGCCACTTCTTTTGTTTTTCTCTGGGGAACTTATTAGATAAAATTGTGAATTTGTGCTCATAATGTATCTATAGCAAAATCAATTCCATGCCTGCTTAATTAGGTGTTTTCTTTAATCTCCAGGTATAAATATTTATCTGTCTGCTTGTTGAATTCTCCACAAACATTCAATAAGGTGACATTTAAAAAAAAATCAATTTTGTTCATAATTTTGAGCAGTAGTTATTTATACTTCTTACCAAACATTTCTAGTCTCCTTCTAGGCCAATGGTAGGATTGTATTTTCCTCTCCCCATATAATTATGGGCAAACATAGTAAAGCCAAAATGACTTGTGTCACTCCTGGGTAAGGGCTTTAAGAACTAATGCATAAGTACATGATGCTGCACTTTCATTTCCTAGATGCAGCCTCTTTTCACTTAGGGCCTTTGGTATGTATAGAGAATAGAACTTCCTGCCAACCTGTTTTGGGAACATAACATTAGCAGATAGCAAATTTTGATTGTGTTTAGCCATGGAAACATGGATGCTATTTTTTTTAATGCATAACCTATAATATAATCTATCCTAACAGACACATGTAAAAATCTACTTTTCTTGTTTATTTGCAAAATGTTGATGTAAAATATATAGTTACCTTTCCTGTATTATATATTCTAGGCTTGGTTGAAGGTTTACATACTTTTTGCCATAAATACATTTGGTTATAGACAAATTAAGTAAATATATATGTGAATAAATAAAATTAGAAATTAGAGTGAAATGAGAGCAGAGAGAGATAGTAGAGACAATGTAGAAATGATATATTGTTTAACATATACAGTAAGGTTAGTAAGAGCTTATTGGATCTACAATAATTTTGAGAAGTGAAAAAATCTAATGTAATATTCAACCAGCAAATCTTGCCTCCCCTCAGCAAACAATGCTTTATTCTTACACAACATTGCCACTGTGGATGATTTTTGAATATTTGTAAATCTTTCCATCTTAATCACTGTGAGAAATTAGATTCAGAAACACCTTATTTTGTAATATACATCTCAGGCCCCCAAACTAAATACAGTATTTATAAGGTTACTAGACATAGAGAATGCAATGTCTTCTTAGGAGAAATGACTCATGTTTATTTTGGTTAACTCATGTTTATTTTGATTGCTTACACCAGCTTTCATTATCCTGCAGGAAGAGAGAAAGAGAATTTGCTAGATTATAACACATATTAAAGCAATGCCCAATAGGAGAATAAAAGTCAAGTTTAAAAGAGACCTTTGCTGAAGCTGAATTCAACATAGATTTGATGGACTTAAGAAACAGAGTTAGCAATAAAATAACCCAAGGATTACAGAGTACTCTTCATAGCGTATGTTACACTTTACCACGGTGAGACTCCACCAACATCCTTCATCTCCTACTCCATTAGATTTCTGTATCTGAGGTCTGCCACTGCTAGAATACCACAGCAATGCTGTTCTTACTAGGCCTTCCCACCTCCTAAATTTAATTATTGCTATTGTCCACATTTGTCTTGCAAGTATATCTAGTTTTAAATTATTTTCGTTAATATACTCTTTTAGTTTTCTAATTCATTGAGTAAATATAAAAGAATTGTTTTTATGCTGAAAGGCAATAAATTTACAATTTACTGTCAAAACAGCTGCCTCTTTTAACTGCATTAAAATTGTATTTGAACACTTTCCTTCACTTAAAAAATCTACACTACAAACAATGGCAAACAATTTTTAAGTTACAGTTAAATAATCTTTAAGATGACAATGAAAATGATGATATTAATAGTATTTTCCTTGTTTTTGTCAGTAGCAAATAAGATAATACATACATAATTAAGTTGCCAGATAAAATACAGTTAATTCCTATTTAATTTGATTTTCAAATAAATAAGAAAACATTTTAGTACAGGTACATCCCAAGTATTTGAATAAACCATACTAAAAAAATTGGAACCTATAAATACAAAAATATCATTTTTATTTATATAAAATTCAAATTTAATGAGGTAACATCTATTTTTATTTGCTAAATATGAGAACTATATACATAACACTCAACACAGTACAGGATGTCTTAGCTAAGTGATAGCCACTATTATTATTATTAACATTTCTTGAGATGTTACTATAATTTTATTTTTTGACATAAGTATGATTCAGCATTATTAGAAACATAAGCCACTATATTCTTCTAAGGTATGTGTATAAATTATTTCTTCCCACCTTTTTCTCTACTTACCTATTTGCTGCATGCACTTCACCTAGACATTATCTTCTTCATTTAATACTACCTATGGCAGACTGACTTTTAAGTTCCTCCATGTCCCTGCTTCCTGGTATTCATGACCTTGTATAGTTCTCTACAATGTGTTGGAAGCTATGGATTACTTCTAGTAAATAGAATATGGCAAAGATGACAGTTGGTAATGTTCACCTGTGTATGTGACTGGGTGATTACATTACGTAATACTATAGTGCCCACCTTGCTGGAATCTCTCTCCCTAGCTAGCTTTGAGGAAGCAAAAGATCAAGTTGAGGATACCCAAATGGCAAGGGACTCTGGGTAGCTTCTGGGAGCTGGGGTGGTTTCTAATTAACAGAGAGTCACAAACTAGAGACCTCAGTCTTAAATCTACAAGGAACTGAATTCTATCATGAACCTGGGTGAATTCATAAAGGTATTGTTCCCTGATTTTTCATCGTTTGAGTATCAGATGAGCTGCAGCCCTGGTGAACATATTGAATGCAGCTTTGTAAATCCTAAGTAGAAGATGCAGCTAAGCCATGGACAAATTTCTGATGCACAGAAACTGTGAGATAATAAATGTATTTTTAAATCACCAAATTTGTGATAATTATTACTCAGCAGCAATAGATAAATAATATCATATCTTCCATTTAGCTTACTCTTTGCCTCATCTGAAAGACTGACTTAAATTCCACACTTGAAAGTCTTGGTAATTCTTTGTGCTAAACAATGAATTAACTCTTGCTCTGGCCTCATATAACATTTGGAATATATTTCTCTAGGATTTATTCAATTGATTTACATTTATTTTCACACATTTTAATCTCATCTATAAAACTAGGATGCTAGCAGCTATTTTGTTAAGTGTTGTTAGATGTGGCTACTTGAGACATTGCCTAGCAGTCAATAAATAATGATGTCTTTCTGTCCCTGAGTTTGGTTTCCTTGAGAATACAGATTTCTGATATATTTGTCTTTATAGCCTCAGCTCATGGCATGTATTAGGTACTTAATAAGAATTAGATCTCATTAATAACCTACTTAGTAAGTTTTTAAAAATGTGTTTAGATCTTTTCCCAAAGATTTTCACAATTGTCCTAGCCAAAAATCTCCTAACCATGTATCTGTGAGAAATATGAATTTTTACAGGGGAGGGAGGATGTGGAACACATTGCAAACTTCAGATCTTTAGCTATCCTATAAATATAGTTAACTAATGTTTATATTAAATAGCACAAAACTATGTATGACCTTATGTATTATGCCAAGAAAACTTTCCTTATGATTCATATAAAGAGTAAAATACATAAGCATCTTTTGACTTTTCACTGAACATCATTTTAGTTGCAAGCTTGAATACAAAGCTCGAAATACAAAAGTAGAAATGAAGTGGTTTTAAAGTAGCTTTCTTACCAGACTCTTTATTTCTTGACTTACTTTTTTCATCTATCAAATTTCTTAGTAGCTGATTATGAAGAAGTATTAGTTTTTCATTGGCAGCTAATTGGGAATTGATGATTTGTAGGCATGGGGGAAAAGTCAAGAAAAAATTTTAGTATAGAATGTAGGGTCTTATGATAATTAAACAGCAAGTATTGCAACATATAAAACATATAAAAGTTGCAAAGGCTCCAACTACAAGTTTCAAGTCATCAAATAAATTTCAATGTGATATAAATCACCATTATTAAGTATATTATTAGTAAGTATATTATAACTAAGATCATGTTTTTAGATCTCTAGTTAAAAATCCAGTTCCTGGTGCCTAGAAATATTATCAACTTTAATATCCAGGTCTTTGACTATGATAAATGCAGTGATGACAGCATATTTGAACAGGCGCTTTGGGATAGTAATCCTTGGGTTGAAGAAGTAGTTTACTACTCTTTTTCTTATCATTTGTTCTTTTTCAAAATGAGCTAGCATATTCATAGCCATTCTGATTAGCCTCTTTTTTTTCCTTCAATGCAATCAGCAAATAGATTATGTGTACTGCCATTCCAATTTTATTAGGTTCATTTTGTATGACTCTGGATTTTTGGTTTAAATTCTTTTATTGAAATCAGCAGCCTTATCATTTCATTTCATTCAAGAATAGAAAGACCATCATTTTACAGAGTTGGCAGCTTTTCTGCTTCAGAGATTCTGTAATTTAGTTGGCTACTCGAATAGGGTTATATTTCATGTATGCTGAATATACCCTTTATGCTTGTGTTACTCCTTAGAGAACGCTCCGACAAAATAAAGTAGTTTATTGCATAAGAGATGGCAATTGCATTGACCATTAACCTCAATAACTTGCAAAGGCTATAGAGAAGCTTATAAAACACTTTGTAGTCAAGTTTAAAGTGGTACAAGATGTTTATTCAAGCTGAAGCACTGACATATAAAAAAAGTCTTATATTCTCTCTTCTAGTGAGCAGACCTATCATTTCGAACTCAAATGTATTTTGTATGTCTGTATAGGAAAGTGAAAAAGTTTGCCTAGGATAGCCTGAGAGATTTTGGCTTGTGCATTTAGCTGTTGTGTACATGGAAACTATTTATTCGTATACTACAATATTGTTTCAGATTTTCAGAGTTCTAATTAAGATGCAAATAAACTTTATACAAATAGTAAATAGCCTCTGTTAAGTTTTAATGCAATGACCATATTAAAAATGCACAGATAGATGCATTCTTTACATAACCGAAAAATTAGATAATTATTACCAAATAAATATAATATTTATACTTGTTCAGCATAAATAAAATAAGAAATCACTTAAACTATAATTTTCTTTAGGCCACCAATATTCATTTAATTTCTGCTTTGCAAGCAAAAGCACATATTATTTTCCAATTGCTTTAGAAGAACACTTAATTGAATTTATAATTTCTAAAAATTACACTATTTTTCTAGGTACAGTATATGTGAATATTAGTATTTCATTTTAGAGCTAAGTTAAAATAGCTTCAAAACAAAATAAATACAACTTTAAACATTGATTAATAAAATAAACTATTAGTAAAGGTAGGTTTAATATGAAATAAGTAGTTTGCAAATAAAAGCTATTAGCAAAAAAGGAAACAAGAAAACTGTGTACTTTCAAATGTGCATTATATAGCTTCACTATTTTTGAACTTATAAGTCAGGTTATGTTCAATGAAATAGACACTGGGTAAACTGATAGCTTTTTTACCAGCATTTTAAATTATTTTATATTTGGAAAGCATCAAATTACTTATATAATAGAAACATTATACTGTTCTTTAGAAGAGAAATTGGAATTTGGCAATAAGCAAGTATATAAAGGTACAGAAGGGGACAGAAATAAATAAATCTTAAATATTGCTCTAGCATATGTAATCTAAACTACTTCATAAATCTGGACAAAATGAGATATATAACAAAGAGGGAGCTAGAAACCAAAATGTAAAAGTAATGTTATAGCTGCTTTTTAGACATTTACCAATCTTTGTAACCAACAGCCTTGACTTTTAAAGGCTGCTTTGTGAACAGAGGACAAGGCTTCAAAACCAAGAAAAGTTTCAAATTGTAATTGGGAAGCTAGCGTAAAGTCAATTCATTCAGTGTTCTACCCTAGGTGAATGAGTAGGCTATAAGATCCACTCAATTCTCAGTAAGGAGATAAAAATGGATCTTATTTACTTTGTAGCTATTGGAAATGAAATTGTTTTCCTAATTTTTTCAGATGGTTTACTATTCATGTGTAGAAACAATATTGATTTTTGCATGTTTATTTTGTATCCTACAACTTTACTGAATTTGTATATTAGTTCTAACATTTTTTTAGTGACGACTTTAGGGTTTTCTATGGATATAAGATAATGTTACCTGCAAATGGGACAGTTTAACTTTCTTCTTTCCTATTTGGATAGCTTTTATAACTTTATCTTGGTTAATTACTCTGGCTAGGACTTCTGGTATTATGTTGAATAGAAGTGGAAAAAGTGGGTCCCATTTACAATAGCTACAAATAATAAAATACCTGGGAATAAGTTTAACCAAGTTTGTTGTATTAGTCTGTTCTCATGCTGCTGATAAAGAGATACCCGAGACTGGGTAATTTATAAGGAAAAGAGGTTTAATGGGCTCACAGTTCCATGTGGCTGGGGAGGCCTTACAATCATGGTGGAAGGTGAAAGTCATGTCACATGGCAGCAGACAAGAGAAAGAATGAGGACCAAATGAAAGGGGTTTCCCCTTATAAAACCATCATATCTCAAGACACTTATTTACTACCATGCGAACAGTATTGGCGAAACTTCCCCCAAGATTCAATTATCTCCCACCAGGTTCCCCCTACAATATGTGGGAATTATGGGAGCTACAATTCAAGGTGAGATTTGGGTGGGGACACATCCAAACCTATCACGTGAACACTGAAAACTATAAAACATAAATGAAATAAATTGAAGAGGACACAAATTAATGAAAAGCAATCCCATATTCATGGATTGGAAGAGATAATATTGTTAAAATGTCCATTCTAACCAAAGCCATCTGCAGATTACTATAGCTTTGTAGTATATTTTGAAGTCAGCTAGTGTAATGCTTTGTTCCTTTTGCTTAGCATTGCTTTGCCTGTTTGGGATCTTGTGTGGTTTCATATAAAAGTTAGGATTTTTTTTCTATTTCTGTAAATAATGGCACTGATGTTTTGAACCTATCAAATCTACAAAGCTATAGTAATCAAAACAGCATGGCACTGGCAGAAAAGCAGACACATATATCAATATAATAAATCCGAGAATACAGCAATAAATCCACATATTTGCAGCCAACTGATTTTTAACAAAGACACCAAGAACACATATGGGGAAAGTATGGTCTTTTCAATGAATGATCCTGGGGAAATTGGATATCCACGTGGAGAAAAATGATTCTAGACCACAGTCTTTCATCATATGCAAAAATCAACTCAAAATAGATTAAAGACTTAACTATAAGACCCAAAACTATGTATCACTAGAAGAAAACAGGAGAAAACTTTCAAGACAGTGGTCTGGGTAAGAATGTAATTGATAAGAAAACCCAAAGAACAAAACAAATAAACAACAAAACAAAACAAAAAGACAAATGGAATTACATCAAACCAAAAAACTTCTGCACAGCAAAGAAAAAAAAATCAACAGAGTGAAGAAGGAACCTACAAAACAAGAGAAAATACTTGCAAACTATACATCTAACAACAGGTTAATATCCAGAATATGTAAGGAACTAAAATAACTCAATAGCAGGCAAATAATCCAATTTAAAATTCAACAACATATCTTATACATATTTCTCAAAAGAAGACATTCAAATGGGCAACAGGTATATGAAAAAATGTTCAACATCACTAATCATCAGGGAAATGCAAATGAAAACCACAATAAGCTATCACTTCACTCTAGTTAGAATGGCTATTATCAAAAAGACAAAAGGAAACAAGTGTTAGTGAGAATGTGGTGGAAAGAGAACTCTTACACAGTGTTGATAAGAATGTAAATAAGTATAGCCATTAGGAAAAATAGTATGGAAGTTCCTCAAAAAAATTAAAAATAGAACTACTATGTGGGCCAGGCATGGTGGCTAATGCCTGTAATCCTAGTATTTTAGGAGGCCAAGGTGAGTTGATCACTTGAGGTCAGGAGTTCAAGACCAGCCTGGTCAACATGGCGAAACCCCATCTTTACTAAAAATACAAAAATTAGCCAGGCATGGTGGCACACACCTGTAATCCCAACTCCATGGGAGGTTGAGGCAGGAGACTCACTTGAACCTAGGAGACAGAGGTTGCAGTGAGCTGAGATCATGCCACTGCAGCCTGTGTGACAGAGTGAGACTCTGTCCTAAAAAAAAAAAGAACTATTATGTTATCTAACAATCCCAATCCCACTACTGGGTACATATGTAAAGGAAAGGAAATTCGTATATTCAAGAGATATCTGCAGTCCTGTATTTGTTGCAGCATTATTCACAAGAGATATCTACACTCCTGTGTTTGTTGCAGCATTATTCACAATAGCTCAGACATGAAATCAATGTGTTTATTAGTAGAAGGATGGATTAAAAAATGTGATCTATATACATAGTGGAATACTATTTAGCCATAACAAAGAAAGAAATCCTATCATTTACAACAGTATCAATGAACCTGGAACACATTATATTAAATAAAATAAGCCAGACAAAGAAAGACAAATACCACATGATCTCACTCAAATGTGGAATCTAAAAAAGTTGATCTCATAAATCTCATAAAGGTAGAAAGCAGAAAAGTAGTTATCAGAGGCTTGGGAGAGGAGAAGGGAAGGGAAATGAGGAAAGGGTGATCAATGAATACAAAGTTACAGTTAGCAAGAATAAATGCTGGTGTTCTATTGCACAGTAGGGTGACTATAGTTAAAAATAATGTATATTTCAAAATAGCTAGAAGATAAAATTTAGAATGTTTTCATAACAAAGAAATGATAAATGTTTGAGGTGATGGATTTGCTAATTACCCTGATTTGATCATTACCAAAGTTTACATGTATAAAACATAAGTTTGTCTTCCATAAATACATGCAGTTATTGCATATCAATTAAAGAGAAAGTAAAACATAGAAACATAGATGATGAGGAAAAAAAAACCTATCTGCTTCAGCCTTATAGGAAAAAATATATATGAGATATTGTCTATTATTAAATCTCTAAGATGTAATGTATACTATTATAGAAAGAGAAATTCCTTATAGAAGAAATAAGTCAATGTACATTAATGCTTATTGAAGGATAAGCTTTATGCTGGTAAGAAATTTTGATGTTGTTATTGATGTTTAACACACAGAATAAAACAGTCCCTGCCACATTACACTTGATTAATAAATATTTGATGAATACATGAATAAATTTAGCTCTTCTGGGAAGGCAGAGACTAGAAAGCTGAATATATTTTTAGAAGAACACAATTTCAACAAAACCTATTGTGGTTATCATGGATAATGCATTACCAAATCTAAGTTTAAATCCAAAAATTAAAAAAAATTGATAATCTTCTAGTCTTCAGAAGAAAAAAGAAAATGGAGAGAAACAGTTAACCTTTTGGAAGAGAGTAACCACCAGCCAACAAGTCTATATTCAGCACCATTTTCCTTCAAAAAATGAAGTAGAAATAAAGCTTTCTCAAACAAACAAAAATTGGGGGAACTCAGCATAAGCAGACCATGCAAGGAATGTTAAAAGAAGTTCTTCAGAGAGAAGGAAAGTGATATAGGTAAGAGAGTGGAATCTAGATAAAGAACAGAAGACTATTAGAGAAAGAATAAGTCAAAGTAACATAAAATATTTCATTTATACTATTCTTAATTGCTCCAAAAGGTGATTGTTAAAAATAATAATAGTTACAATGTATTCTGTCATCTTATAGCATATGTATAAGCAAAATAAATAAAAGCAATGTTATAAAGGATGAAAGCAAGAAATTCAGCAGAATTAGACTCTGTCATAAGGCACCTGCACTACCCGTGAAGATCTACAGTATTTTTTGAAAATGGGCATAGATTATTTTAAAAATGTACAATACAAACATCAGGACACCAAGTACTTTTAAAAAGAGGTATAAGTGATATGCAAAGAGAGAGGATAAAATGGAATTATATAAAGTGCTCAATTTAAACCATAGAAAGCAGAAAAAGATTGAAAAAATGAAGACAAAGAAAAGCAAACACCCAGAACAAAAAGCCACTACAAATATGGTGTCAATCCACATATAACAATAATCACTTTAAATAATAGTGGTTTAAATACAGTTAAAAGATAGACCTTTTCAAAGTGGATTGAAAAAATCCGTAATTTTATCTTGTCTATAGAACACCTGCTTCATATATCAAGACTCACATGTGTTAAAAGTAAAGGACTTGAAAAGCATATACTATTATAATATTAATACATCAATCAAAAGAAAGTTAAATTAGCTATATTAATTTTAAACAATTCAAACTTTAAACTGGGAATATTATGCCTAAATGGAGCATTTTGTAATGATAAAAGCCTCTATTCAACAACAAACATAAAAATCCTAAACACGTCTGCTGTCTGCACCTACCAACAGAAATTCAAAATATGTGCTTATAAATTGATGGAACTGCAAAGAGAGATACAAGTCTCCTCATATAGTTGGAGACTTCAACACACCTCTACTAGCAATTGACAGATCCAGCAAGAAGAATATCAGTAAGAATATATTGACTTAACTAACTCTATCAATCAAATTGACCTAATTGACATTTATAGATGACTCCATCCAGCAACAGCAGAAAGTACATTCTTCGCAAGCTCACATGAAACATTCACCAAGATAGACCCATTCTAAGCCATAAAATACAAGTTATCAAATGTAAAAGAACATAAATAATATGAAGAATGTTCTCAGACCACAATGGAATTAAACTAAATTTTTTAAAACGTTAGATAATCATTATATTTGGAGACTAAACACTTTTAAATAGTACATGAACCAAAGAAGTCTTAAGGAAAAACTTTAAAATACTTTCTTCTAAGTAAAAATAAGAATAAATTATCAAAACATGTAAAAGTCAGTAAAAGGAATGCTTACAGGGAAATTTAGACTATTAATTGCTTATGTTAGAAAAAAGAATCTAAAATCAATTATCTATGTTTACCCTTTAGGAAACTAGAGAAAGAATATTTTAAGCCAAAAGAAAGAATAAAAAATGAAAATAGAGCAGAAATCAATGAAGCTATAAATAGAAAAACAACAGAAAAATAATCAATGAAATCAAAAGCAATTTTATTTAAGAAACCAAAAAAAAATGATAACCCTCTGGGCAGGAAAACCAAGGAAATAGAAGACACAAACAACCAACATCTGAAATATAAGACAGGTATCTACTACTGATACCACAGTCATTAAAACGATTATAAAGGAATACCATGAACAATTATATGCTCACAAACTTGAAAAATCCAACTAAATAGACCAATTTCTTGAAAGGTGCAAACTATCAAATTTCACACAAGGAGAAATAGATAATGCGGATCAGCCTATATTCAAGTAATAGATTTAGTAGTCAATAAGCTTCCAAAAAAAGAGAGAAATAACCAGCTCAGATATTTCAATAGTGAGATATACCAAATATTAAAGAAAAAAATTTCACTTCTCCACAATTTTTTTAAGAAAATAATAGTACAGAAAACACTTTTTAACTCAGTCTGGGAGGTCAGCATTGCTCTAATACAAATAAATAAATAAATAAATGAAATACAGATTCTATCTTTCACAATTATTTAGGCAAAAATCCTTAAGAAATAATAGTATATCAAGCCCAATAATGTATGTGTGTATATGTATATATACATACATATATCATAGATAGATATAAATATATGTAGATATACCATGAACAAGTGGGGATTTTTTCAGGTATGCAAAACTGGATAAAAATTCAAAAACCAATCAATGTAATCTGTCACATAAGTAGAATAAAGAGTAAAAACCATATTGTAACATAAATTGATACATAAAGTGCATCTAGCAAAAAACATTTTATACCCCTTCATGACAAAAACTGCCAGTCAACTAGAAATAGGGGCGATTTCCTACTTCATAAAAAACACCTACAAAAATCTACAAGTAATATTAGGTTTAACTAGTGAGAGAATGAATACTTTGCTCCTAAGACCAGAAATAAAGCAAGCAAGAATGTTTTCTCTCATCATTTCTATTCAACTCCTTACTGGGAGTCTTAGGGCAAAAAAAAAAAAAAAAAAAGAAAAGAAATACATAATTGGAAGAAAAATAAATTAGTCTTAGATTATATGATTGTCTATTTTGAAAATCCCCGAGAATCAACGAAAGAACTCTTGGTGGTACCTGAAAACTACCAAGATTTATTGGTGTAAATGTATATTAAGCTGGTGTCCTGCAAGCTTCATATACATTTACAGGAGTAACTTTTGGTAATGACCAAGAGTAAATGTATATCAAGCTTGCAGGACACAAGATTAATATACAGAGTCAGTTGTTTTGCTATATACCAGCAATGAGCAATAGAAATTTGAAAATTAAAAGAATAATAGCCTCAAAAAGTTAAGCAGGTGTACATGTATGAAAATATGTACAGTATATCTATATGAAAAACTAATAAAAGGCTAATGGAAGAAATCAAAAATCTTAATCTAAAATACAAGTAAACCCCCATTTTACTATGTTTCACTTTATTATACTTTACAGATAATGTGGGTTTTTTTGTTTGTTTGTTTTTTACAAATTGAAGGTTTATGGTAACGCTGTGTCCAGCGAATCTATAGGCACCATTTTTCCAACTGTGCCTGTTCACTTGATGTTTCTGTGTCACATTTTTATAATTCTCACAATCTTTCAAACAT
This sequence comes from Homo sapiens, assembly GCF_000001405.40. NCBI lineage: Eukaryota > Metazoa > Chordata > Mammalia > Primates > Hominidae > Homo > Homo sapiens. The sequence continues at coordinate 73,787,219 of NC_000012.12, read as the reverse complement.
TTTCATTATTATTATATCTGTTAGGTTGTTCTGTGATAAGTGTTACAAATAGTGCTTAGTGTTACTATTGTAATTGTTTTGGGACACTACAAACCATGCCTGTAGAAGACAGCAAACTTAATTGATTAATGTTGTGTGTGTTCTGACTGCACAACTGACCAACTATTTCCCTACCTTCCCCTTCTCAGCTTCTGTAGTCCCTAAGCACAACAATATTGAAATTAGGATCCCAGGTGTTCCAGTGAAAGAAACAATTACACATCTCTCACCTTAAATAAAAAAATAAAATTATTAAGCCTAAGGAGGAAGGTTGAAAGCTGAGACAGGACAAAAGCTAGGCCTCCTGCACCAATTAGGCAAGTTGTGAATGCAAAATTAAACAAAACAAAAATGTTCTCGAAGGAAATTAAAAGTGCTACTCCAGTGAACACATGAATCCTGGAAAGTGGAACAGCTTTATTACTGATATGGAGAAAGGTTTAGTGGTCTGAATAAAGGATCAAACCAGCTACAATATTCCCTTAAGCCAAAGCCTAATCCAGAACAATACCCTAACTCTCCTCAATTCTATGAAGGCTGACAGAGGTGAGGAAGCTGCAGAATAAAAGTTGGAAGCTAGCTAAAGTTGGTTCATGAAGTTGAAAGAAAGAAGCTGTTTCTGTAACAGAAAAGTGCAAGGTGAAGCAGCAAGTGCTGATGTGGATGCTATAGCAAGTTATTCAGATCTACATTAATTGATGAAGATGACTACACTAAACAAAAAATTTTCAGTGTAGTTGAAGCAGCCTTCTATTGAAGGAAGATGCCATCTAGAACTTTTACAGGTAAGAGGAGAAGTCAATACCCAGCTTCAAAGATTCAAAGGACATGGTGACTTTCTTGTTATAAGCTAATGTAGCTGATGGCTTTAAATTGAAGCCAGTGCTCATTAACCATTTTTAAAATTCTAGGGTCCTTAAAAATTATGCAAAATATACTCTGCTTGTGCTCTATAAATGGATCAACAAAGCCTGAATGACAGCACATGCAATTATTGTATGGTTTCCTGAATATTGTAGGCCTATCATTGAGACCTACTGCTCAGAGTGAAAGATTTATTTAAAAATATTACTGCTCATTGACAATGTACCTGGTGATGCAAGAGCACTAATGGAGGGGTCCAAGAAGATAAACATTGTATTAATGCCTGCTAACATAATGTCCATTTTGTAGCACATGGATAGAGAAGTAATTTTCACTTTCAAATTTTATTAAGAAATACATTTTGTAAGCTTATAATTGCCACAGATAGTGATTCTTTTGATAGATCTGGGTGAAGTAAATTGAAAACCTTCTGGAAAATATTCACCATTCTATTTGCCATTAAGAAACTTCATGATTCATGGTAGGAGGTCAAAATATCAACATCAACAGAAGTTCGAAGGAAGTCGGTTTCAACCTTCAAGGAGGATTGAAGCACCATTCATTGCTGTTGGGAATGCAAAATAGAATCCAACCTTCATGAATGACTCTGAGGGGTTCAAGACTTCAGTAGAGAAGTAAATTCAGATACAGTGAAATGCCAAGAGAAGTAGAATTAGTGTGGCTGCCTGAAGATGTGACTGAATTGTTACAATCTCATGATAAAACATTAACACATGAGGATTTGAATCTTGTAATTGAACTAAGAATGTGGTTTCATAAAGTGGAATCTACTCCTGATGAAGAACATGGGAATGTTATTGGAATTATAACAAGGAATTTAAAATATTAAATAAACTTAGTTGATAAAATAGCAGCAGAGTTTTAGTGAATTGACTCAGATTTTGAAAGAAGTTCTGCTATAGGTAAAATGCTATCAAACAGCATCACATGCTACAGAGAAATTTTCATGAAAAAAGGAGTCAACCAACACAGCAAACTTTAATGTTGTTTTATTATAAGAAATTTCCACAGCCACTCCAACTGTATTTTCCAATTGTATTTTTAATATAGACATGGTTTCATCATTGTTGGCCAGGCTGGTCTTGAATTCTTAACCTCAAGTGATCTGTCTGCCTTGACCTCTCAAAGTGCTAGGATTACTGCACCCTGCCGATATAGCAAGTATTAATATATGCACCCACTGGGCCCGGCCTAAAGTAGTTTCTAAAATCAACTCCTTATGTATTTTATTTTTAACTAAAATGTTCTGACAGAAATAAATTCCACCAATAAGCACTAAATATTTATTTTATTAGAAAAGTATAATGAATTTACATGTCCAAATATTCAAAACAATTTAAATAACTTGGTCAATAAAAAATGAAAGTCATTATTTTTTATACTTTTAATGTAAAACCTATTTTTAAGTAAAAATCTATTCAATTATTTTGAACATAGGTTTCTAGTTCTGTTTTCCTGATGAGACGATTAATGTTCAATACATTTCTAAGTATGCATAATTTAAAAATATTGTAATGTATGCAAGAAAGCCAATAATAAATGTTTGTGTTTTTAAAGAAAGCAAAGATTATAGGGAAAAAAAAATGACTATCAGACTACTATAACAAGATGATATCTATGATTCAAATCAATCTATTTATCTCAGTCATTTGCAAGATCTTTAGAATTATTTTAAAGAACTTCTAGTATTTAAGAAAAAATAACTTTGGTAATAAGATATATATTTCTGGAAATTAAAGAAAATTATACTGCTGCCTCATATCTTATTAAAACAATTTTGTGTAAATGATAAGCTTAGTAACAATGTAATTGTATGTATTACTTTCTTCTACTAAAATTAATGTTTTGAAATATCTAAATTATCTAAAGTTTAAAATCAATTTTTTAAAATATTAATATTAAATTTTAAATCAGCACAAATTAAGTTTAATAATAGGCTGAAAACTTACTGTCTTTTATTTGTTGAGTAGTAACTCCATGCTGATGAGAGCTTTATGCGATCCTATACATAATAAATTACCTTGAGGCTATTAATGTGGTCTTAGGCATTCTTTAGTGGAGATGCATTGCACACCGTTGCTTCCACAATTGGCACATCTCAAGATACTAAATGAGGATTCTCTCTAAACAAATCCTTAGAGGATATTTGCTTCTACTATGATGTATTTTTCTTTGAAATAACAGAAATTGAACTATTCTTGGTAATTGAGTTTAAAATGGCTTAAGTTGAAACCTAATTTGCATTCACCTAACAAAGAGAACACTCTCCATGAGTTATATTACTCAGATTAACACAATGTAAAATGGTATGTTCTCAATAAATGTATGCCCACCTATTGAATATGTAGGTTCAAATGAGATATGACTGGGTAAATGCTTTAAACACTGTAAAACTCAAGTATGAGGCAATTTTCTTCTTACATGCTTCCAAAATGTGCATTGATTTTCACACAGTACCTTGCTATTTTATTCTTTTGCCGTATTGATATAAAGGAGCTCTTTTCATCTCTTGAATGTGTGTCTGTTACTTTCTACCTCAAAGTCTGAGTGTATTTTCCTTATTTTTCCCTTGGTTCATGCCTGCTGATTATTCAAGTCATACATAGATACAGCTTTTTCAGGGAAGCTTTCTTTCAATCTTAAGGTCAAGTTAACACACTCATTGTACACTCTTATGCACCCATCTATGACACTAGCCATAACTGTGGAAATATTAATATCTGTTTATTTCACTACATAATTACACATTCTGTACAAAGCACCTAGCTTACGACTTGGCACATAGAGACTTCACGATAAAGAGCTAACAGATAAATTAATAAAATGATTACTCAAAAATACAATAAAGCAGGGATGTATAATAACTAAAATTACTGTAGAAAAATGAAAGAAAACCTGCACTTCGTCTATCCTAGTCCTTCAAGTACAAACTGTTTTTAAATATTTTTCTCATTTATTTATTTGTTTGTTTATTTTGAGTTCCAGGTTGCATGTATATGATGTACAGGTTTGTTACACAGGTAAATATGTGCCATGGTGATTTGCCTCATCTATAAAACCATCACCTAGGTGTGAAGCCCAGCTCGCATAAGCTATATACACCATGGAATACTATGCAGCCAGAAAAAGGAAGGAGATAATGTCCTTTGCAAGGACATGGATGAAACTGGAAGCCATTATCCTCAGCAAACTAACACAGAAACAGAAAACCAATGCCACAGGTTCTCACTTATAAGTTGGAGCTGAACAATGTGAATACATAGACATAGGGAGGGGAACAACACACGCTGTTTTAAAATGTTTTTACAGCCTATTTTCTTTTAAAAATTTGAGACTCTTTGTTAGGTTTTTCCCAAGTATTACAAAATTGCAAAGGAAATCCAAAGATTGAAATTTCTTGTCCCAACAAGTAATTGTAGTGATCAAAAATTATTTTTAATAGAGACAGGGCCTCACTCTGTCACCCAGGCTGGAGTGCAGTGGCACAAAAATATTTTTTTATACAAACATTGCACCAAAACCATATACACCGCCCTTGAGGTCAACAGTGACTTAAGTTTTGGTTTTTCAGTTTACCTTAATGCATACAAATGGTAGACTAAAGAAAATGTTGAATTAGGAATAGTGACTATGAGCACAGGGGAAATGAAATTTATTGAAGGGTAAGAAAATATCTGTGTATAAAGCTGGTGGATAAATGTTTTATGATATTATAAAAATATGTGTTCATAATATTTATTCCAAGTTATCAAAATTGTGTGATGTTGTGTGTGTATTGTCTTTAAACAGTGACCCAAGTAATATATTTTAGAAACTGTTTATCAAAATTGTTTAAAAAACAAAATATGTAAAAGATCTTACTAAAAATAGCCTCTACATATTATGAAATTGTTCTGTATTTTAGCTGTGATGATGGTGGTCATATGAATCTACATATGTTCTAAAATTGCATAGAAGTAAATACACACACATACTCACACGTTGCATGTAAAACTGGTGAAAACTCAGGTAAAGTCAATTTCCTAATTTGATATTATACTATAGTTATATAAGACATTACAATTGAATGAACGTATATGAAATCCCTCTATTATTTCTTACAACTGCAAGTGAATTTATAATTATCTCAAAATTTAAGAGTTTCTTTTAAAATCCCACATGCACGCTATAAATTAGTTGAGAACATGGACTCAGTTTGATTCACTAAGTACAACACTTAGTACAACACTAAGTACTAGTACACTTAGTACAACACTAAGATTGTAATGTTTTTATACAACTTAACATAAACTGTTGCATTTTGCTAGAGCAGAGCTTATGTTTCAATGGTGGGACAAAATATTTATAATGACTCTATGCAGATTAAAATAAGAAACGCTTAGCCATCTTTCTGTTATTTTTAATTTTTATTATCATTATTATGTTTCCTCATGTAAAAACTTCCCTCAGGTATATTGCAGCAATTTACTTTATCAGCATAGTAATTTTGGCATTTTATACATTGAGATTATTAATAATAGTGCTGATTAGTATCATTAGGCATCAATTTTCTGGACCTTAATATTGAAAATTAGATCACAACCTCTGGTGTAAAGCATTTTTTCTGTTACCTCTTTATCTTTTGGAAACAATGATTGTCTAAGTTCGTTCACTGTTCCAATTTTATGTAAATCAGGAGTGTTTAAACTTTTTACATCCCTGGGCCACATTGGAAGAATTGTCTTAGGCCACACATAAAATACACTAATTAACGATAGCCGATGAACTAAAAAAAACAAACAAACAAACAAAACTCATAATGTTTTAAGACATTTTATGAATTTGTGTTTGGCCTTATTCAAAGCTGTCCTGCGATGCATGTGGCTCATGGGCTGTGGGTGGACAAGCTCTATGTGAATAATCAAAATGATACTATAGTACTAGGAGTCATTTTTCAAAGCTTTATTTTCTTGTAACATCCTTCATTAAAAAAATTATAAACTCTACAATGAAACCATAACAAAAAAATATAAAATGATTCAGTAGGTTCCTGTTTATCATATCCTCACTGTAAGGATTCTTGTATCATGTTGATTTCTTTATTTATAAGAATCTTTTCTGCTAACCTGAAGATGGTATAGATTTGCTCACATCTCTGCACTGATGTTACCTTATTGAAAAATTATATAATAATTATTCAAGAATATAGATGTTAGATAAACATTATGAAATATTCCTAATAAATGTTTGAGTATTATTTAAAATGAACATTAACAGGCCCTTGAAATTTTTAATTTTGAATATATTTTTCAAAATGAGTCAGAAAAAAAGAGTAATAATGTGATCATATCTCCCTATTGAGTGAGCTAAAAGGGGGAAATGGGGAGCTATTTCTATGTAATGGAATGAGGGTAGATAAGATTTCGTATTTTCCTCCATATAACTAATTTATAATCCACACACGCATGCATATATGATAGAGACTGTGCAATATGTATTTTACATACTTAATACATATTTTACTTATAAATGTTTTATACATTTTAATATATTTATTTAAATATGTTTGTATGTGTGCATATGATACAGAGAAAATAAAAATTGATAACTTCTTATAATCACACCAGAATTCCAGTAATATAAATTATATTTTTAACATATTAAAAATTCAAACACTTAATAAAATCAGAATCCTCTTATTAGACATTTCAATTATGAAGTCAATTTAAAATGTTATCATTGCAAATATTCCTGGCATGTGATGGATAATTTTAGTAATATTCATATATTTAATTAGAGTAAGAATATTTTCTTCAACTGCCTAGCAGTATTACACATAGACTTACACAAACAAATTAAAGTTGCCACCCATTGAGAATGGTCACTGAATGTATCTAAATAAGGTTAGATCTGTATTACCTCACTTACTAATCAACACCCCTATTGGAAATGGAGGACTAATAAAGATTAATCTTTGATTATGTCTGGTGCCTAGAAGAAGACAAATTGTGTTTAGATTTTGAAACAATATATACTTTGGTTATCATGAAAACTTTAAAATATTACTTAAAGAAAACCAAAGTGACAAAACAATTTATTTGACTAGGTCAACAGCTGCACCACTTTGATAAGCCCTGAAAAAGGGAAATTACAACACAGACATCTTACTGTTTTTGCCTTGATATTCCAAATGGAAAAATTCATTTTATGCCAATAGGCACTGTTGAAACCTTACTCAGTTTCTCTGCCAATATGATAATTTGCATAACATTACCCACAATGCCTCACATTGTGATTTTGCTTTGAAACAGATTTAATTGAGCCTTGCTGAGCTGCATTAATGTGTCTGTTTAAATTGAGCAAACCTAATTATGTCACATGAAAGTTATGCCACCTCTGGTGCGACAAAGCTAATGCAATTAAAGTCTGCCAGATGTATTAATTGAGTATTGTAAACATGCATTCTATCTGGTAGAGAACAGTTTATTATACGCCAGGGACTGGACAGTTTGTAACCAACTACAATATAGCTTTCCATGTCAAAATTATCTTTGGTACAAAGATCTATAAAACCCAGAATCAAAGGGCCACCATATGTCTTAAGGGTTAATATCAGTGTGGATTTAAGATGTTATATCTTTAACATTTTGGTTCTATATTTTGAAAACCCAATTGTCTGAAGCATTCATAACATATGAACTTTAGCTCTTCATGGTCTCCTAAAAAGCATTAAAATCAAAAGGGGCCATCACAAATCTTTACTATTCTACTTTTATGCAATCGTTCCTTTTTGTTTTAAAGATGGAATTGGAGACAGTTTTCTTTAAAAAATAGTAGTTCAAAAATAATGAGGCAAAGTATAAACTGGAAAGAAAAAAATTTTACTTAGACCTCTCTATACATAATAAAAAAGAAACAGAAGACAGGTCTAAACATTATTAAACTATATTATAAAATAATATAAAAAGGTCAAGTAATCTTTGAGATGACTGGCAGTTCACAATTTTAAATTCAATTTTATTTGCTATCAAATCAGTCACATTTATTGTGAAACGTTGAACAAACATATCAAAACATTGATCTTGTAGAACTTTGTGAATACAAATTTAATGCAGCCTGACAATAGGAAGAAAGATGACAGCAAATATGTGAGGTTTACTTTTATGTATTTCCTTTTCTTAAACCTTCAATTAAAATATATTTTATATAAATAGAATGATGTTTTCCTTAAATAGTCAGAAGCCTTCTACTCTAACAGAAATTTATATTTTTAAAAATGTCAGGATAAACGTATATTGAAAATATTTATATAGGCCGGGCGCTGTGGCTCACGCCTGTAATCCCAGCACTTTGGGAGGCCGAGGCGGGCGGATCACGAAGTCAGGAGATTGAGACCATCCTGGCTAATACGGTGAAACCCCATCTCCACTAAAAATACAAAAAATTAGCTGGGCGTGGTGGCAGGCGCCTGTAGTCCCAGCTACTCGGGAGGCTGAGGCAGGAGAATGGCATGAACCTGGGAGGCGGAGCTTATAGTGAGCTGAGATCATGCCACTGCACTCCAGCCTGGGCAACAGAGTGAGAGGCTGTCTCAAAAAAAAAAAAAAAAATATATATATATATATATAGCAAACTGGCCATTTTTAAAGTTCATGATTCCAGAAATTAAAGGAACATAAATAAAATAAAGATTAAGGTTTCATTTTGGTATTTGTTTTGGGTTTCAGTGTTTCATTTTCATTAATTTAAATCAATTATGAAGATTAGAAATATAGACTGAAAGAAAATTCTTCTTCTTTTAATTAGACATGTTAAAATTTATTTTATTAATCTAAGGACCAAAACAGTGGGACATGTAATTACTTTATAAGCATAAAATTTTAAGTAGTAATAAAGACATTGGAATAATTTTTTTATAGTCACTTATATCATGTCTCAGAGATACAGGCTTTAAAATATCTTTGTTGATGAATTTAGTAGAACACAAACATACAAAAATAGGAAATCTTTCAAGAGCCATTCACAAAAACTATAATATGCATCATTTATTTAAAGGATAATCATATCTCCAAATAAATATGCCATGAATTCCATAAATATGAAGAGTGTAAACAGAGTATGGTGTTTTAATGTAACTGCTTAGGGTCATAAAATATATGACTAGTAACATTATTAAAATAAAATATTTGTTCACCATACCCAATTGTGTGACCAAGTGTAAAGACTCAATGAGGACTAAGTAGGAATATACCCTTTTTATAATAAACTGAGTACAAACAATTTATAAAATCATTGCTGTAAATTTTGTATTTTTAGAATATAACCAATTGCCTTTCTCTTAATAGAACTTTCCTTTCTTCCATCTGCAAATTGCATTTGCTCCCTCTGCACCTAAATACTATGAACCATTCAAGTCAGAGCCTAGTGGTTACATATTATGTGTAGTTTCCTGGATTAACCCAAACTAACATAGTGCTATAGACTGGACTGAATGCTCTCCTTTGTGTTATCAGAGCACCCTGTGTGTTTTTATTTATTACAGCACTGAACATATATATGTAATATCTATTACATATTTTATAATACCTCTACTCTGCATGTTATGCTAAAACTGAGCACCATGGTGGCAGAAGCCACATTCCTCATCTCTGTATTTCAAGTTTGTATAACAAATTTCTGCAAATATTTTGCATTTACTAATTTGCTGTAAAATACAGGAGTTTACAGAAACTCAGTCCTCCCCTTTCAATGGACAGCTATTCTATAAAACACAAAAAAAATTGCAAAATTCAGTTTTACTGTATTGCAAGCATGTAGTCACTCCTTAGAAATCCTTTATCGTGAAAAATCCCTGTCACAAGAATAGTTCTGTCACCATGTAGACAAACAACAACAACAACAACAAACTCTTTGAAATATTTAAAGAGGTTTATTCTGAGCCAATATGAGTGACCCTGCCCCAGGATATGTCTCAAGAGGTCCTGAAAAAGTGTACCAGAGGCAGTCCAGTTACAGATTAGTTTTATACATTTTAGAGAGATGAGAATTGTAGGTAAAATTATAAATTAATACATGAAAGGTATACATCGGTTTGGCCCGAAGAAGTGAGATATCTTGAAGAGGAAGGGTTTACAGGTCACAGATACATTCAAAGATTTTCTGATTGCCAATTGGTTGAAAGAGTTAAGCTTTCTCTAAAGACTTGAAGTCAGTAGAAAGAAATGCAAGAGTTAAGATAGGGGTTGTTGTGGAGGCCAAGGTTTTTGTTATGAAGATGAAGCCTCCAGGTAAGAGGCTACAGAGAGAATAGATACTAAAAGCCTCCTTTCGAAAGGTATCAGACTCTTAGTATCTCCTAGATCCAGGAAAGGCCTGACTATATTAATGGAGATTCCCTACAGATGGAAATTTCTCCCACAAAATATTGCTTTGCAGAGCCATTCAAAATATATCAAACATATTTTGGGGTAAAATATTTTGATTTCCTTCAGGGTCAGCTATCTGGCATGTGACGCTATACTGGAGTCATGTTTGAATTTAGTATTTTATTGCCAGAGAGTCTTTTCTGTCAGTCTTATAATATCTCTTTTAAAGTTAATGCTGGTCATTTGTGCTTAAACTGCAAAAAGGGAAGGAGTATAGCAAGGTGTATTTGACCCCCCTTCCATCATGGCTGGGCATTCAGTTTTTCAGTTTCTCTTTGGTTCCTTTGGTCCAGAGATCCAGTCAGTTGGGAGGCTTAGGATTTTATTTTTGGCTTACAAACTCATCTCTACAAACCCCATCTCTGCATCCCATCTCATACAACTTCCCAAGTGTGGGTCGAGAAATCTTTATAAATGTTAACATTCTTAGCTCCAGGTGCACTAATCCCCTATATCAAGTCTCTAATTCGCAGCTAAAATAAAATCTGGATCTTCTTATTTGACTTTCTCTTCCAACTTGAGTTTTATCACCAATGGAGGATGACAGCCTGCCCTTTCACTTAACAAGGTTGTTTTAGAGATAGTGTAGAGTGTTCAATCAGTATTAAGAAAAGGCTGTCAGATTATAGAGGTATCTTTCCTGCTCTTTAACTAATGACTCCTCCTTTCTGTGCTAAGGTGATCCCTTTCTCTACCAAGGGGACTATTCTTCTTAAGAATCATTATCAGTTACTTCTTTATGTCTCCAGGGGAACAAGTGCCAATCTCAATCAAATGTCCTGTTTTAGTCATCCTCTGACAGAAGAGAAAGTAGGAGAGCAGAGGATATGTTGAAATTTCTTTCATCAGACTTGCTTATCTCTCTTTTAAAAGAAGGACCTCAGATGAGTTAAATTTAGTAGAGTTTAATTGAACAAAGAACAATTTATGAATTAGGCAGCTTCCTGAGCCAGAGCAGGCTCAGAGTCCGGTGCAATCATGTGGGAGAAGATTTATGGACATAAAAAAGAAAAGTGATTTATGGAAAATGGAAGTGAGGTACAGAAACAGCCAGACTGGTTACAGTTTGGCCTTATTTGAACACGGTTTGAAAAGTATGTCACCCTCAATTGGCTGAAATGTTGTGATTAACACAAGAATAGGTTATACTCTCTTTATGCTTCCAATTAGGTGGCAGTTTACTATATACAGAGAAACCTTTAGGCTGAACTTAAAATATGTAAGGATGCAGCTTTAGGCTAAACTTAATTTTACAATTACCCTTTTGGTCATCTTCTCAATTTTAAGAGATAGACCAAAACTTTAGGTATTGATGTCACTCTGTTACCATCATAAATGTACTTATTTGGTGTCAAATTCCACTGGGAAATAACAGGACAATGGTTTTTGTAATGTGGAAAAAAGATGGTTTGATATGGTTTGACTTTGTGTCTCCATCCAAATCTCATCTTGTAGCTCCCATAATTCCCATATGTAGTGGGAGGGACCCAGTGGGAGATGATTGAATCATGGGGGTAGGTCTTTCCCATGCTGCTTTCATGATAGTGAATGGGTCTCATGAGATATGATTATTTTAAAAATGGGAGTTTTTCTTCACAAGCTCTCTTTTTGCCTGCTGCCATCCATGTAAGACGTGATTGCTCCTCCTTGCCTTCCTCCATGATTGTGAGGGTTCTCCACCATGTGGAACTGTAAGTCCATTAAACCTCTTTCTTTTGTAAATTGCCCAGTCTTGGATATGTCTTTATCAGCAGCATGAAAATGGACTAATACAGACTTCAAGTTATTTTTTGTAAGAGTTAGAGTAGACGGGTTCTTCCTGTGCTAGAATCAACTGTTTTTTGGAGAGAAAAAAGGCTGGTTTGTTTTAGGATCTATCTTTTGCCTTAAAGTTTCAGTTTAATTATGTCACATTTAGCATGGATGACTTGACTTTGGTTTGGTCTTGTCTGTTTGGGCCTAGCACATGAGCTCAGTTCAAAACAATGGCGTCCCATAATTTTATTAAAAAATTCCCACCTTCAGGTCAGGTTATCTCTTAGATGACAGTGTAATAAAAACTTAGGGCATAGTGCCACCCTCAGTTACCATTATTTGGGGTTTCTAGTCTCAGTATGTCATTCAGAAGTTACTGTATCCTCGTGGTCACACGTTTATTTGAGTTTTTGTCATTCCAGTCAAAGACATACCATTTGTCATCCTAGAGATGGCCTCATGCAAATATTTAAAACTTTTGCAAGAATATAGCCCACCAGGGAGACTACTATTATGATTTTCTAGAGGATAATACCAAGAGTTTGGAGTATGCTCCTTAGCAAAAGTCCCTGTGAATAAAACCAACTAAAATCAAATGGATCAAAGAATGAGCTAAAGAGTCAACTCATTTTAAACAAGCAGCTTGTTCATTATCTCTTTACAGCTGAATCTCTATAATACCTGATGTATTTCTCTATGTGCAACTAAAAGCATCAGTAACTACACAGCTACTTCAGTTTAGGCAGCAAGTAATCTACAGGAATTCTATTATATAGCACAACTTTAGCAAGAGAACTTAAAATACATTGTGCTACCACAGCCTTTTCAGTAGAATCTTCTATAGAGCCTATTATGAGGGATAAATTTCTAATCACTGCCACAATTATTCCAAACCATAAAGAAAGAGACCTAAAAAATTATGCCCATCCAGAAGAGTGAAGGCCTCCTGGCAATGTTCTTTTTCACCTATGATGTAGGTTAACAGGAGTGGATCAATGTTCTTTTTCTGACTGATTATAAAGCAGCAAAGGTACTATTAAAATTTCTTGCCCTCATTGGCCTTTCCTCTTCCATCTGTCAAGGTGTAAGTTTATCCATGTATAAAATTGGTTGTGAAATCCTCCAAAAATAAAAGTATACCCCATGAGTGCACACAAGAGACCCCTTATTCAGTTCTACATTCATAGAGGCCTAGGCAATGGAAAAATTGAGAGATAAGAGTTTCATTATAGCAGAGAAGTTAAGACTTGTGATCTTAGGGAAAGGCTGTTCACATCTGGGATGTCATCTACTTCTAGGGAGAAATGTTCCTGGCTAGCTTTATCTTAAGGTCTCTGATAGGGATATAATTTCAAGAGTCTGGAAGAGCTCTTCTGAGTTGTGAGATTATAAACCCAAGGTCCAAGGTCCGGGACATTTTGCTGCAGTATAGATGGCAAGGGTGGTCTTTCTCTAATGTCATTCTCAGAAGACCCAATCTCCAGGTCCTAGATTGTGAAAAGTTTGATTATCTTCAGCTAGTGGACCACAAAAAGCTTTCTTTCACTGGTTAAAATACACTTTGGCATGATGCATTAAAGCCTTTAGCTATATTAGAGTTTAAGAGTGGAAGATACATGAGTTTCTATTATTTGGTGCATAGACCTTCCAGTGACTATTTCATTTGAGATCAACTTATATCTTCCCCTGGAAGTGGATCTGATTACCATTAATCTACAATACTTTTTACCAAGGCAATACAGTCAATGCAGCTAGCTTTGCCTAATGCTATTGTATTTATAATATCCTACTTAACTGTTTTACAACTTGTCTAGTGAAACAAGTACTTTTATCACTGGAGATTTCTCCAGGAATGTCCCATGAGGAAAACATATTTCCTAATAACCTTGTAGCTACTGTTATAACATCAGCTCTCTTGCATCAGAAAACTTTTATAAAAACAGAAATATGCATTGAAATGACAACTGAATACAATTCCTTTGTAAATATTTAAATGAGCCATCAGGTAGCAAAAATATGCCTAAAGTTTTGACCGTTGGCCCAGTATTACGGGATTGTAAAACCAAACATTGGTCATAAATTATTTTAGCAATTTAAAATAGTCACCACAAATATATATTTACATATATTTTGGACTATTTTACCCCATTCCATGATGAGTCATGAAATTCAGAGCTTTTAGTAATGGAAGATTTAAGGACTCAGGAACGACCAGGTGGCCATAAAGGCTCTCCAAGGATCCATGCTTAACCCTGGGCATACATCCTAAATATCAATTTTGTTTTTTCTAATTTAGGTGCATAGCATTGTTTTTTTAGATGGGTTATCATAGATAATTTGACTTGGAACATTGAATTCATTCAAATTGCCCATCTTAACAATTTTGGTACTGGCTGATTTAACATGAAAATGTGACAAAGTATTTTCTTGGCATTCAATTAATTCTTATACCACTTGGATTACCAGTTTTATAAACCAGTCTATCCTTTTATTGGTGTTCTGGGAATCCTTACCAAGTCTAAATGATATGATCCTAAAGTTATCAAAAACTTTACACAAGAGTGCTTTCCAGAATCTTTTTCATCCTTTCATAAACCTCCTTAAAGATACAATATTCTAGGATTTTGCTTGCTTGTGAAGTTTTCAGAAATTGCATCAAAATTAAGCAATCAACTGTGGAAATGACTTTAAATGGGCATAGTTAAAGGTACAATTCGTAAGAAAATTTAGTTATTTCTATGGCCTATAATAATTTAACATAATAACCATAATTGTGACTGATAGTGCATATACAAACATATCAAAATTTTAGGAATCCCATATAATTTTTGAACATATATGAATAACATGTTTAATAAAATATAATTCAAAGAAGATTAAACATCACTTATTATTTGGCAATGCATTTCATATAATTTAACATATCAAATAATACTTTTTATCTCTCTTTTGGATGCTTCAGGGGCCCTCTGTAGCATTCCAAAGTTAGAGTTGAAAAAAAGACCTACTTTTTAGGTTGAAATTTGATTTTTGGAAGTCTCTCAAATATGTCAAAGTGAGAGCGGCAGGAGGAAGCCAAATGCCCAAGCAGATAGGGAAGGATCCCTAGTGAAACCCCACCTCCAAGCTGAAGACAGTTTAAAGCCTGAAAGCCAAGCTAAAACTTAAACCCTCAGACTGAATTGAGAACTTCTCTTACTGTTTGGTGTGGTTTCCTCTGATTGATACCCATCCTTCATTTATTTAAAGTATACCTACCCTTTCCTAATTGGTGTTCTATACTGTTGTGCCCACCTTTAAGTGGTATCTTTGCTTTAACCTTTTTTTGAATACTCACAAACCAATCAGCAACTCCCTATTCTGAGTACGTAAAAGGCCCTGGACCCAGCCACGCAGGAGACTTTCTCACCTTTGGGTAGGGGAACCACACCCCACACTCCCTCTTTGCTGAGAGCTTCCATCTTGCTGAATAATTTTTACTCCACTCACTCTCCAGGGTCTGTGCACCTAAGTCTTCCTGGTTGTGAGATAAGAACTCAGACCTAGCTAAGCTAAGGAGCAGAAAGACCACAACAAAAGGTTTAAACACTTAATCAAAGTAGAATCACAGGTCACTATAAAATAATAGTGATTCATTTTGCCAAAGTGTTAAAAGATTTTTAAAAACAAAAATCTTCATGCTTTAATAGGTGACTCAGTTTTCTCAATATTCTAAAATACTGAGACAGCTAAAATGAGACAGAATCTGCCTCTTTTTCTATCTTTACTCTTTTTTTATTGTTTACAATTTACTCAAAAGGTGAACAGAAGTATTTTACTCACACTTGTTAACACTACATGTAATTTTTGTTCAACAGAGAAAAATACATGTTACTTTTGTATTTATATATAATCAATAAAGTCAATTTTAGTAAAACTGTGTAAGTAAATTAATTAAATCTCTATTAATTTTGGCCATACCAGATTATCTTACGATAATACAAAAGGTTTATGCCTTTTGTAATATCTTATAATTTAAAATTTTTCAACTTTTTATGTTTTGGTTTTACTTAAATACTTTTTATTTTTTCTATCTGAAACAACCTTTAGCTTCAAATTAGATAAAAATTTTTAACAAACACACATTTTTCGGCCTTTACAACTTTTCTAATCAAAAGTATATCTTGTTTTTGTTTGCATACTCTCTATAAAGATTTTTTTATATCTAATAGTTTTAATTATACATATTAACTACATTAACTCTTAGTAACCTTAATTAAAAAAAAATCCCTAGGAAGTAATTTTGAATGGTTATATATCAGGATTTGTAGAACAAACCATTTTATAATTTTATAGAAAAATGTTTTATAAAATTTTGTTTATTAACAGATCTAAATATAATTAGCTTTTCTATGCCATATAAAAATAATTTGCCAAGATATTAAACTTCAACTTGTTTTAAATAATTGATGATTTAGTATTTTACAAATGACTCAGATATTTTTATTATTTACCATAACAGATATTTTATTATTTACCATAACATGACTTTAAGATTTTGAATTACTAAAAATAACTTTGAAACTATGACACAAGTACCTTCCCCAATGTCATTTTCAGTAATCCTGGGTCTCAGGTGGCCATGTGGCATCCCAGATACCAGTGAAGGTCAGGGCCTATCTGAGTCCTGAATTTACATATCAGTTGCAGAGCTCAGGACCTCAAAGACAGAGCTGTGAAGACTATGCCTGGAAGATTCAACCCCTCCTAAAATAGCCAGGAGGCAACGCTGAGGCATGGAAGAAGGGGCCATACTTGGCTTGATTCTGCATTGCAGCTGCTTGTCTAGGCACTGAGGACATTGTAACTGCCCAAGTGGTTCATCTTGCCCACTGACTAGACAGAGCCAATTCATCAAGACAGAGTAATTGCAACAGAGAAAGGGTAATTCACACAGAGCTGGCTGTGTGGGAGACCGGAGCTTTATTATTACTCAAATCAGTCTCCTCAAGCATTCAGGGAGCAGAGTTTTTAAGGATAACCTGGTGGATGGGGGGAAGCCAGTGAGTCAGGAATGCTGATTGGTCAGGGATGAAATCATAGGGAGTCAAAGCTGTCTTCTCAAGCTGAGTCAGTTCCTGGGTGGGGGCCAGAAGATCAGAAGAGCCAGCTTATTGATCTGGGTGGTACCAGCTGATCTAACAAGTGCAGGGGCTGCAAAATATCTCAAGCACTAATCTTAGGAGCAGTTTAGGGAGAGTCAGAATCTTCTAGCCTCCAGCTATATGACTCCTAAATCATAATTTCTAATCTTGCGGCTACTGTTAGTCCTATGAAGGCAATCTAGTTTCCAGGCAAGAAGGAGGAGGTCTGCTTTGGGAAACAGCTGTTACTGTCTTTGTTTAAAATATAAACTATAAACTGCCAAGTCTGACCTACAGACCCTGACCAAGCGGCAGATGAAAGACATACATTGACACAGATATTTTGCCTGTCAGCACAGCTAACGGGCTCTGCTGCCAGAGTCCGCAGTGGCCTCAATAAGCTGGCAAAGTTCGCATTTATTTAGTACAGGTTAAATGACAAATGTGTAGAGTAAACACCCTAGAGGGTAATTAACATTGCCCCGAGTAGAGAGCAGTCATGTGCCTGCTGATGATCAAAGGTCGGTCTTAGGACCACATGAGTAAATAAGCTATTTAGATAAACTCCCCTACATTCCCTTGTTATTTGCTTTTTACTATTAGCTCAAGGTAAGAGGATCAGACTGCCTTCAGCCATAGCCCTTTCACAATGCTTTTGTAAAACCTTCCACCCTTCCAAGAAAGTTTGCATCTTTCTACAATTTTTCCCACCACCCTCACCGAATTCCTATAAGAAGCTAAGTTTCTCCTAAAGTTAACTCAGCCTATACCTAGGAATCAACAAGGATAGCCTGGAGATTAGAAGCAAGATGGAGTTGATTAAGTTAGATCGCTTTAACTGTTTCAGTCATAATTTTGCAAAGATGGTTTCAATATGTCTCCATGTCTCACAATGGCCACTAAATATTTTCACATACACATAACAGATAAACATATAGACGTAACAGACATACAGACAGAAGCAGATCTTATAGATTTGTTACAAGATTCTTCATTTGCCAGTTTCCAAAGTTTCTCCCCACTATCAATTTCTTGATTACTTGTTTCATGCCATCAACAATTGTTAGAGAGACAGCTCAAAATTTACATCTACAAAGAAGGGACTCAGGTGAAACAGTGTAGAAAATTTACTCCTCTAAGAAACAGAACTTAGATTTAAACAAAGGCAAAGTTTGTTATGTAAACTTTAAGCCATTGTCTTCCTCATAAAGTTCCTGGTGGTTTAAGTGTATAAACAGAGATGCCCATACAAATACTGATTTCCTTTAAAGTTGTACATTTCTGTTGCAAAAGTATTTTCAAGATAGCCAGTTAAATGCCAGAAGGATGCATTTTAACTTTTTAGGTATTTTAATTTAGCTGAAATTACTGGGTTTAGGGTAGAGTCAATTTTAAAGAACAAGGCAAAGAAAGCATTCTCCATACCTAAAATCAGCATGGATAGATCAGAAAAGGAAGCAAGCCTACTTTACCTGAGGGCGTATCTTCTATAAACACTTCAGGGTAGGATTCTTTCACATTCAGGGCTAGATTGTAACTAAGCCATAGGTTAGCAGATTTAATTTTTCTTATCAATTAGTCATGTAAGCTTTTTATTTTCTTTTTATAAAGAGTCTTTTAAAAAGGAATAAAAGTATTGAAATCTTTTTAGAAGCTTCTGCATATCTATCTGCACTCATTCCTGTATGAGTCTAATTTGAGAGTCCTCATTTTCCACTGCACTTCTTAAAGTGCAGTGTTATTCATTTGGAATGTTTCACTGTAATTTTAAATTATCTTCAGTAAGATTTTGCTATTTCGCTAAGTGTGTACCACTTCCCGAGCCTAACGTTTATATATGTAAATTTAGGCATAGCTGGAAAGCAGATTACTCAGCTCTTTAGAAATTAAGGATCCCATTTTTTGCCTTGAATCTTGGCTTTGGCTCTCAGATCCCCTTGATCAACCTAGGAAATGACCTTTCCCTAGCTAAGCACACAAGAAAAATAAACAAAGCAGGTAGAACACAAAAATCCCTGCAAATTTTCAAAAGCTGAAGTTTACGGCCCCTGCAATATTGCCATTTATTACTAGTTTCTATCTGACCCAGTCAGACATAAGAGGCCTCAAACTGAATCTAATCCGGTTAATTACCAGAACCAATCCAATTCTGGAAACAGTCCAGTCTGTCATGACTTCCAAACCCAGGTTAGATCAGAAATTTGCTCAAACTTGGAGAGCTCAAAACACAAATCTGCAGAGCTTTGGAATCCACTAGAGAACTTACCATGATGCCCAGTTGATGCAAGAGAGAAATAGATGCAATGGGCCTCTGAGAATCTCTCTTGGTGACTTGGCACCTCCAAAGCCAGAGTAGGCTCAGTGAGACTCCAGTGGAGCTGAGGCAGTAGAATAGGGTCTGGAGACAGGGAACATGTGGCCAGTTAATGCTGACTTCCTCGAACTGAATCAAAAGGAAAACCCCAACTCTCCATACCCAAGGAACAAAAATATCAGAAGCTACTGTCTTTGCAACCCCCACCCCTTTCCACTGCCTCTCAGATGAAAAATGGAAAGTATGTCTGATTGGTCCACTCCTACAACCAGTCTTCATGTGCATAGGGTGTAACTTTGTAACTTTACTTCAGGCTCTGATTGGTCACCTCCTGCAACCAATCAGACTGGTCATTGGCCGCTCCTTCATTTACTTAGGGTATAACCAAATAACCAATGGGAAACTTCTAGAAGGTATTTAAACCCCAGAAAATTCTGTAACCAGTGCTCTTGAGCAGTTCACTCAAGCCCACTCCCACTCTGTGGAGTGTACTTTTATTTCAATAAATCTGTGCTTTTGTTGCTTCATCTTTTGTTTCTTTCTTCATGCATTTTGTCCAATTCTTCGTTAAAAACACTGAAAACCTGGACAACTCCTAGTCAAGACCCTCCACCAGTAACAGAGCTGTGTGGTGGAAGATTTATGGACAGAAAAAAGAAAGTGACATACAAAAAATGGAAGGGAGGTACAGAAACTGCCAGATATAGTTTGGTATTTGCTTTATTTGAACATGGTTTGAACAGTTGGCCACCCTTAGTTGGCTGAAACTCGGTGATTGACATGAGAGTAGGTTATAGTCTGTTTATGCATCCAGTTAGGTTGCAGTTTATTATGTACAGGGAAACCTTTAGGCTGAAATTAAAATATGTAAGGAGTCAACTTCAGGCTGAACTGAATGTAACACCCTAGTGAGGCATCACTAAAGATATCTCTATTTCATGTGTGTGTCTCTTTCAGTACCTAACACATGTCATGCCCATAATAAAAATCAAAAGGTTATTTGTTGAATAATAAACAGAAAATGTGGATACTTATTTTTGATAAAGTGATGTGACATTTATAAAATGACATTTAATGAAGTTATCTGATTGGAATTCAAGTTTAATGTTTAAAAGTCAGAAGAATTTCTATATAGGATTGGTAATTAGAAAATGAAATAAGAAAACAGCAAACAATCTTCGGGTGCTTAGGAGTAAATTAAACATAATAACAAATGTATACAAGACCTTTATTGACCAAAACATAAATTATTATTGAAAGACATTAATGAATATTTGACTAAATGGATAAATAATGAGTGATTTCCTGTTTCTGTAGGTAAAACATCAGTATTACAAATATGTTAAAGTCTCTCAAATTTATCTCTAACTTCAGGCAATCTATAAAATAACTATGTTATTCATTGAACTTAAAGAATGAATTACTGTATAAAATTCCCATGAAATTATAAAGACTCAATAATGGTATTTGTTTTCAAAAAATAAAATAAAATCGGCAGTTAAGTGAATGATACTAATTAGTTATTAAGACATATTTAAATGTATGTTAATTATAACTCTTTGTTCTTTGTAAGGTATTAGGCAAATAAAGTGAGAGAACAAAATACTGTGGTAAACATATTAGTCATTTATGTACAGTGTATGTTGGTTCAGATCCATTGGAAATAAATAAAATTTAAAATTAATTGTATAGAGAAAGGTAAATATCAGTATATTTTTTGGAAAAGAAGTTTAATCATTATTGCTTAGTTTATTCTAAAATATAATCTTATTGTTTAAGATGTATAATTGAAAAACCAATATTTTACATATATATTTATATATATATATATTTTGTTGTTGTTGTTGTTGTTTTGTTTTTGTTTTTTGAGACAGAATCTTGTTCTGTTGCCCAGGCTGGAGTGCAGTGGTGCACTCTCAACTCACTGCAACCACCCCCTCCCAGGCTCAAGCAATTCTCGTGTCTTAGCCTCCCAAGTAACTTGGATTACAGGTGCATTCCACCACAGTGGGCTAATTTTTGTATTTTTAGTAGAGATGAGGTTTCAACACGTTGACCAGGCTAGTCTCACCTCCTTACCTCAAGTGATCCACCTGCCACAATCTCCCAAAGTGCTGGGATTACAGGCATGGGCCACTGGCACCCAGCCTGAAAAACATACTTTTAAAAATATATAGGGGCCTCACATGTAAGTCACTTGGTAGTTGCCACTCTATCCTAACAAGTAGGAAGCTAAATAAACAGAAAACAATCCATAATTTTTCTTGCATCTATAAGACAAGTGAGGTTATGGGACAAACTGCTGCTCCCCAAACTGGAGAGAACAATAGGCAAATACAGAGATTCACAACCTATCAGGGCAAAAACCCACTAGCAGAAACTTCTTCTGGAAACCTGCTCAGTTTGTGGGCTGAAAAACCTGAACCATACTTGACAAATTGTTGGAGGTTCTATAAAACAGCCAGGATAGACAAAATGATGATCGTAACTTCTTATCTATAAAAAATTAATTTTAATAGTGAAATGTTGAGTTAAGCAATTTAATCAAAACATTAGATTTTGTAGAACTTTGTAAATATAAATTTAACATAGACTTTGAAAATGGGAAGTAAGAAGATGACAAGAAATATGTGAGTAGGTTTACTTTTATGTATTTTCTTTTCTGTCATTTTGGATTAAACCGTATTTTATATGAACACAAGTGTGTTTTCTTAAATTGCCAGGAGGCTTCAAACTTTTTTTTTTTTTTTTTTTGAGATGGAGTTTCACTCTTGTCACCCAGGCTGGAGTGCAGTGGCGCAATCTCGGCTCACTACAACCTCCATCTCCGGGGTTCAAGCAATTCTCCTGCCTCAGCCTCCCAAGTAGCTGGGATTACAGGCACATGCCACCACTCCTGGCTAATTTTTTTTGTATTTTTAGTAGAGATGGGGTTTCATCATGTTGGCCAGGCTGGTCTCGAACTCCTGACCTCAGGTGATCCACTCGCCTTGGCCTCCCAAAGTGCTGAGATTACAGGCGTGAGCCCCCATGCCTGGCCAAGGCTTCTAACTTTAACAGAAATTTTTATTATAAAAAGTAGAGAGGCCGAATGTGTAAAAATGATAAGCCCTAACTATGCATTACCTACAAAAGTCTCATTTCAACTTTAAGAAAGCACATAGGCTGAAAATGAAGGAATAGAAAAATACATTTCATGCAAATGGAAACCAAAAGATAGCAGGATAGCTATATTTATTTTAGACAAAATAGACTTTAAGTAAAAAAATTTAACAGAAAATAATGATCATCAGGTGGGATAATCTTTTCCTGTTCTTCCTTTTGGAGGACAGATTATAACATGATTATTGGAGATGCAAGAAACATGATCAACATCTATACATAATCACGACTTGAAACATCCTGATTGCTCCTATCTCATTCTTTCTGATGATTTTGATATAATAAAAAGAAGACAATGAAAGTCATTATATAATGATAAAGTGCCCAATTTCTTAAGAGGATTTAACAATTGTAAATATATATACATCCAACATTAGCACACAAAAATAAATTGAAGGAAGAAATAGACAACCATATAATAATAGTAGGGGACTTCAATACACTACTTTCAATAATGGATAAATCATCAAGGCAGAAAATCAATAAGGAAACTTTGGACTTGACTAAATTTTACACCAAAGAGACCTAACAAATATGTAGAGAATATTGCATTCAACAGCAACAGAATATACATTCTTCTCAAATATACATGGAACATTCTCCAAGACAGATAATATATTAGGCCATAAAACAAGTCTTAACACATTTCAATCAAGATTGAAATTATGTCAAGCACTTTTTCTAACCATAATGACATGAAACTGGAAATCAACAATAGGAGGAATACTGGAAAATTTAAAATATGTGGAAATTTAAAAACCTGCTCTTGAACAACCAAAGGGTCAAAGAAGAAATCAAAAGAAAAATTTTAAAAATATTTTGAGACACATGAAATTGAAAACACAAAATACTAAAACTTATGGGGCTATTAATACATAAAACAAGAATACAAAGGATCATTAGCGACTACTATAAAAATTATATACCAACATATCAGATAACTGAGAGGAAATAAATGAATTCCTCAAGACATACAACCTACCAAGACTGAATCATGAAGAAATATAAAATCTGAGCAGACTAATAATGAATAAAGAGATGAATCGGTGAATAATAATCTCTCACCAAATAAAAATGTTCAGGATCTGTTGACTTGCTTCAATGATGTATTCTACAAAGCATTTAAATAATAATTAATATGAATTCTTCTGAAACACTCCAAAAATACAACTAATCTAAAGTCTATATGGAGACGCAAAAGACCCAAAAGCCAGCACAATATTGAAGAAGAACAAAATTGGAGGACTTATGCTATCTAACTTTAAGACTTACTAGACAGCTACAGTAATCAAGACATTGTGGTATTGGTAAAAGAATAAAAAAAAGATCAGGGGAACACAATAGAGCCACAGAAATAGATACACACATATAGCTAACTGGTCTTTGACAATGAACACAGTACAATGGAAAAAAGATAGTCTTTTTCAACAAATGTTGCTGTAAACAACTGGGCATACATACTGTTAGAGATGCTTGTTCCCTGGTGCCATAAAGAAATAGCATTTGAACATAAATTTAATTTCCTCAGCAAGGCCATTTTTACTTTCTGCAGAAAGGTTACACTCACCAGCAGTTTTGCCACGAAAGTACACTGAACAAAGGAGACAGGGTCATTTATAACCTGACGCATCCACCTTACTGCTGTGTCTGGTTTCCATTGGCGGGAACGGGACCTCACATTCTGTATTTGTGCTGATTGGCTAGCAACTTAGAACTTTTTAAAAGAGGCAAAGGCATAGGAGAACAAAGGAAGGAGGAAGTAACTTGTTGAATGCTGAGAAAGGTAAAAACACCTTCAAATAAGGAATAGGAACAGGTTGTGACCTAATGCTTGCTAGAACCGGTATAAGCATGCCAGGGCAAATATTTAGGCTAAATTGTGGGAGCTAAGAACATAAAGTACATTGATTTCTTTATGACAGCTAGCAGATATTTAAGAATGTTAGCGCATGTCTTTGAATAAATTTTGCTTCTAAGAGAAGCTACTGTTTATTCCCAATTAGACTGGGAGGAAAGTCTTTGAAGAGGAACCTCTACTTTCCTTTTTACAATACCAAAAAAAAAAAGATGATACAGACCTTACACCTTTCACAAAAATTAACTCATAATATATCACAAACCTAGATGTAAAGTGCAAGATTATAAAACTCCTACAAGATAACATAAGAAAATCTAGATGGACTTGAATTTGGCAATGATGTTTTAAATAATGACACAAAAGGAACAATCCATGATAGAAAGATGATAAACTGGACTTCATTAAAATTAAAATTTTCTGTTCTATAAAAGACACAGTGAAGAGAATGAGAAGACAAGCCACAAACTGGGAGGAAACACAAACACATTGCAAACACATATATAATAAAGGGCTATTATCAAAAAGAACACTTAAACGCAACATAAGAAAGTAAGCCACCTGATTTTAAAAAAAATAGCCAAGACCTTAACAGACAACTCAGCAAAGAAATCTACAGATGACAAACAGACATAGGAAATATGCTTAGTATTATGGAAATATAAATTAAAACAACAATGAGATATAACTGCACATCCATTAGAGGACAAAAATTGAGAATAGTGACAAAAACAATGCTGGCAAGGATGTGAAGAAAAAACAACTCTCATTTATGGTGGAAATGTAAAATGGTACAGCCATTTTGGAATAAAATTTGACAATTTCTTAACAAACTCTTACCATATAATCCAGAAATTATATTCATTTGTATTTACCCAAAGGAATTTAAAAGTTATAAGCACACAACAATGTATGTACAAAAACGAATATGTTGCACCTAGAGTGAACCCTAATGTAAACATGTAAACTGTGGACTTTGGGTGATAATGATGTTTTAAAGTAGATCCATCACTTGTAATAAACGTGCCACTCTGTTAGGGGATGTTAATAATAGGAGAGGCAATGTTTACATTTAGAATCAGAGGGCATATGTGGAAAATCTCTGTGCCGTGTGCTCATTTTTGCTGTAAGCGTAAAATTGCTCCAATAATTTTTAATTTTCTTTTTTCAAAAAAAGTTAAAAATATGTAAAAAGTATTGTCAACTTGGAGTAGGTTTGATTTTCTTAAAAGATGGAAATATCAAGCCTTTGATAAATTTGCTTGCTAGAAAATGAAAAATACATTGTATCAGAAAGACATCATCAACAAAATTAGCATTTTAGTAATAGTCTTGCAAAGGGTGCCCAATATATATAACTATAAGAAGTAAGCAAAAAATTAAATGTTCAAATCAGTAAGACAGATACACAAATAATTGGTAAAGAAACAAACAACATATTCACAGTAAAATATAAACATTATAGGCCAGGCACAGTGGTTTATGTCTGTAATCTCAGTGCTTTTTGAGGCCAAGGTGGGAATTTTGCTTTAGGCTAAAAGTTGTAGACAAGCCTGGGCAACATAGCAAGAACTCCTCTCTACAAAAAAATAAATAAATAAAAGTAGTTGGGCATTGTGATGCATGTCTGCAGTACCAGCTACTAGGTGGGAGGCTGAGGCAGGAGGAAAGCTTGAGCCCAGTAGTTTGAAGCCATAGTGAGCAGCTATGATTGTGCCACTGCCTTCCAGCCTGGACAACAGAATGAGACTCTGTCGAAAAAAAAGAAAAAAAGAAAAAAGAAGAAAAAAGGAAAAAAGAAAAGAAAAGAAATAAAAGTAAAACATCTTTTTAGTGAACAAGACAATGTAATTTTGTTAGTGACCTGAGAAAATACAGAAGTACAAATGAAAATAACAATGTATGTTTTCTTTACCCATTACCTGCTATTAGAGGTAATATGTCCAACAGTAGCAAATGTTTCCATGCAGCAGGAAAATGATTAGAAACTCTGTTCTTCAAATAGTACTTGGATAAAACACATGATGTTATATTTCATTATAGTTCAGCTGTATGTAATTTAATAAAAAATTTGTCTGCCTTATAATCCAGGATCTTAATTTCTAGTAAAGTATAAAAAATCCTTTGGATCAAGAATCTGAACAACCGTGTTTATTAAGCATAGTTTGAAACTACAAAAGTTAGTAATAACTCAAAATTTCCATTAGTAAAGGAATGGTATACATGTACTATTGAGAATAAAAGAAATAAATTAAATATATTAACATGGTTACGTCTCTAAAAAATAAAGTAGCATTAAAATATAAACCAGAGAGTGTTTCCCTATACCAATGAAAAACCATATTAAACATTAAATATTAACATAAATTAATAGATGTGAGGCAGTGTATTACTTGGGCTTGAAGAATTCAGCACAAACTCATGAATGAGGTGGCTTTTATGAAACACACCAGAGTGGGTGTGTTGAGAAATCTGACTGTATGTGTATATGAATAGGTTTTCAAATAGTACTTTGTTTTCATACATAAGAAAGATAGCATGCATGGGCTCATTTATACAACAGACTGTTAATAAGAAAATTACTAGAAGAATGGACAGTAACTATTAAAAATAATAATTGTGGTAGTGAAAATTTGTGATTATATCTTATTTTTATACTTCTAAATTTTAAATTTTACATACTTTTTGAAATAAATGTATCTAAATCACTTCTAAAAAGTTGGAAACTTCACTTTTTAATACTTAAAAAACAAAGATTAATAACAAAAATATTTGAATGTAACATACTTAGATATTTTGAAAGAAAATTGGAGTGTGGGGTAAATGGAAGTTTCCCTCTTTCAAACATATACCTTTCTATTCTCTTTACAATGAAAATGGACTTTTATGTAACCTGTATAATTAAAAATGCAATCGGCTGGGCGCGGTGGCTCACGCCTGTAATCCCAGCACTTTGGGAGGCCGATGTGGGCGGATCATGAGGTCAGGAGATCAAGACCATGCTGGCTAACACAGTGAAACCCCATCTCTACTAAAAAAAATACAAAAAAAAATTAGCTGGGCGTGGTGACAGGAGCCTGTAGTCCCAGCTACTCGGGAGGCCAAGGCAGGAGAATGGCACGAACCCGGGAGGCAGAGCTTGCAGTGAGCTGAGATTGCACCACTGCACTCCAGCCTGGGCGACAGAGCAAGACTCCTTCTCAAAAAAAGAAAAAGCAATCAAAGTATAATTAAAAAATAACACAATGCATGTCCCAAAAGTACAGCAATAAAATAAATATCAAGTAGTTTCAGAAACGAAGATAGTATTGCATTCCATAATTTTATACCTATTTGCTACTGAGAAGCCCCATTTCTGGTGATGTGAACTTTAAAAATATAAAGAGATCAACCACATGACTAAATACGCCCAATATGCTAAAATTAAATCCAACTGCTCATAAAGCCATATTTTTGTTATTGTTCCAAAAAAAGTGAGATGAGAATTATCTTGCAGTTATTCTCATAAAGAGGACTATGCATTTTGTACCCAACCTAAAAATCTGCATTTAACAAACATCTTAACACTTTTACATATTGAAATTTTAAGATAATTAGTGTTATATACCTGAAAGTTAATGGATAGCATATCTTTTACAAATTCTTATGTGAATACTAAAACAGGTGTAATTGATTCTAATCAAATAACTTCAAAATATAAAATATATGTAAATAAATCAATTATATGGTACTACATATGTTCAATGCTTCTTTTTATAGCTTTTAAGATAAATTGACATACCCTTCATAAACAATGTAATTAATTTATTAATTAAATATAGTATCACATCTACCAAAAATAATCAATTTTGTCTTAGAAATGATGATATACCTGTATAGGCTTTCAGGTGAACAGTGATTACATGTGAAGTCCACTTGCCTATTCAATCTACTCTTAATATGAATGAAAATGATAACACTTACATATAAAATTTACTTGTCTTCCTCTGTACTATGGGAAGATTAGCATCAATTTATGACAAGTAGTAACTTCTTAGAAGTTTGTCGCATTCTGGAATGTAAATTCATAACAATGAACTCTTCATGCTCTATTCCATTACATTTTGTACTTTGAATGGGGCAGATACCCAGGCATGGTTTTGTTCCTTGAGGTTTTGTTCATTGGGAAAATATTGGTATACTGAGTTATGCAGATATTCCAAAGATTGACACATTTCTTATCAAACACAGTAAGATATTTTCTTTTAAATGAAACTCTTGTTGTTCACTTTAGAGAAAATGTCTACCAAATACCCAGCCTCAATAACCACAGTTTGTCTGTGAGTCTTTCTAGTAAAGCAGCGTTGCACGAATAAAGCAGGTAGTCAGCTTGCAGCTCAAGTAATTGTATAGTGCTTTTCTTCAAGACAAACATGATAGAGTGGTATGCTTCAGAGCTGCTTTCTACATATTTCCCATTTTATTACAAAGACTATTACATGCACAAGCAAGAGATGAGTTTTAATAAAATTAGCATTTTAATGCTTTATCAAGGACATTTTAAAGTGAAACCATATGTATTTTTAAATTATGAATGTGTAGCAATGAAGAAGAGAACTACTAGTACAGTTTGGGCCACTGCTTTGATGACTCCTTACAGGACAGCAGTTTTACTCATTATTGCTGTTGTTCCATAAATGGAAATGTCAACTCAGGGAAAAAGGTGAATGACATCTTAGTATAACTATGAGAATAGTTTTGACCTCATGAACATGTTGAAAGGGTATCAGAGACCCAGTGTTCTGCAGACTATACTTTTAGAAGTCACTCCAGTCAAAGATGACAGTCACAACTCAGCTCCAAATACTTGTTGCCTTGAGGTAATGAAGACTGAAAATTGACAAATCTTCAACTTATAGGAAAATTGAGAATATTTTATAACAACACCTTAAAATATTAACTAGTTGAACTTTTTCTTTGTTAAAAACATTGGCATGGCATGTAAAACTCGTTGTTAGGCCTTTCAGTGTTTCTACCTATTTTCAGCTCCATCAATGTTTCATTTACGTCCACATTCCCATCATCAAGCACTCCTCCCTCCCTCCCTCCCCCCCACCCAATCCCTTCCTTCCTTCCTTCCTTCCTTCATAACTCACTCTTGCTATTCAGTCCCACTGGGCTAAACAAGGTATGCAGAATATTTTAACTTTTGATGGAGAATAGTCATTTGTCCTTGAAACTGAGATTTTTACCTCATTAAATAAGGAATATTATTGTACCTTGCATGCACAATGAGACTTAGGACAATATAAGAAAGAGACTAATCCCAACTTATGTGACTTTGTAAAATGAAAGGACTGAATTGGGCTCCTCAAGTCCAAGTAAGTGTTGTTTGTGAATACTATAGCCTTGGTAGAAGCAATCTCAATTTTCATTGAGAAAAGTAAAAATAAAAATAAAAATAAAAATATTATGGCAAGTTGTTAAATACTGGAATTTGAATTTTTTCATTGAAAACAGGCAGACGATAACTGTTGGAGTTGATCTGAGTACACTCCTGAAACAGCCATTAGGAGACCTTTCTAGTCACATAATTTTATGATTCTTAAATTCAACAAAAAGTACCTTTTAATTTTATTTTACTTTTGTAATCAGAATAGCTTATATTTGTGCAGTTCTTTTCACTTCTCAAATAAAGTGGAGTGTTGTAAAACAGGTCAGGGCATTTGAACTAATAACTGTGCTGGCACCTATTACTGGTGCTTGTATTATCTTAGGCAAGTTGCTATTCTTTAATGCCTTGATTGCCCTATCTATGTAATACAAAGTGGCCATGGAAAAAGCTAAATATTTTGTTGAACTCC
Source organism: Homo sapiens (assembly GCF_000001405.40). NCBI lineage: Eukaryota > Metazoa > Chordata > Mammalia > Primates > Hominidae > Homo > Homo sapiens. Next base: position 73,756,839 of record NC_000012.12, on the reverse strand, counting down.
AGTTTTTGTTTAAGTCTTCCAGAATTCTTATGAGATTTGCATTATTTTTATGAATTCACAGGTTGGAAAATGGTATAATAAGTTTAAATCAGTTTTTTTTTTTTAAGTGGCAGAGTCAAGCCTAGATCTGAAATTTCATCAGAGTTTTATTAGAATTTGCCTAGAATTGTATAATTTAAAAGAAGCAACAGATACTAAGAACCATCATATAGTGTCTTTCCTCTGCTGTGTATTTTCACCTAAGGTATGCATGTATTCCTGAGTATTTATTTCCTAGTTGGATGTTTTTTGGACTAAACTTAATATTCAAAGTTACTCAGAAAACATCTCTCCTCTTAGCTAGAGTTACTGTCCTTGAAATATGCTCTTTGCTATGTTCATAAGCAGAGCTGTCTTTGATCACAAAAGACAGCTATACCATATATTCACTTTCAAACTACTTTATTATCATTAATTATTTCATGGAGAGATTTTGCAGAGAGAAACATGTCTGAAAAAATAGCAATCTCTTTGCTCCATTGCCTTTATGATCATTTAGTGAGTCAAAACAATACAAACTATACTACACTAAAAATAATTTTCCCTTTTCTATTTTCATGTTTCTGTAATCATCAGAAAGTTTCATTGTAACATTCATGCATCATAATATATGAAAAAGAGGATTTTCTTACAGTACAATTTATATTCATCTTCCAGCCACAGTATATGAAATAGAAAGGTGACACACTCTTATACTATCTATTACAACCATTAATTTGTTTCTTTATTAGCCAATTTTCACAGTTTTCAGATATTTTGCCTTCAGAGTAACTTTACATTTTTAAAAACATTGAAGACACCAAAGAGCTTTTGTTTATGTAAATAACATCTTTATATATTTACTGTATTAGAAATGAATACTCAGAACATTTAACAAATATTTATTAATTCATTTAAACATAATAAACTTACATATATGTTAACAAAAAGTAATACATTTTTATGAAAAATAAATATATTTTTCAAGACATTGCTTTACATTTTCTAAAGCACTATTTTATCCTTTTGCAAATCTCTTTATTATTTGGTTTAGAAGGAGACATTAGAATTTTTATATCTGACCTTATATTAATCTGCAGTGATATCTCATGTAGCCTCTGGAAATATCCACTGTACTCTTGTTAAGAGATAAAAAAAGTCAAATGACACCTTAGTATTATCTTAGCTTTATTGAGATATAATTTACATACCACATTTACCTGTTTAAAGTATGAAATTCAGTGTTTTTTTAGCATATTTACTAAATTATACAATAATTACCATAATCGAATTTCAGAACATTCTCATCAATGTAAATAGAAGCTCTATACCCATTATCTGTCATTCCCCATTTCCCTCCCACAGCAACCTGCAACAACTAATTTTCTTTCTGTCTGTATAGATTTGCCTATTCTGGACATTTTATATAAATACTAACATACAATATGTGGCCTTTTATGACCTGCTTCTTTTATTTATCATACTGTTTTAGAGGTTCCTCCACATTGTGGCATGTGCCAGTCCTTTTTTTTTTTTTTTGCCAAACATTTTATCATGTGAATAGATGACATCTATCTATTTATTAGTTGATGGACTAATGTTGGTTGATGGGTTTTTCTACTTTTGTCTATTGTGAATAACTCTGCAGGTCATGAGGTCAGAGGTTTGAGATGAGCCTGGCCAACATGGTGAAATTCCGTCTCTACTAAAAATACAAAAATCAGCTGGGTGTGGTGGTGGGCACCTGTAATTCAAGCTACTTGGGAGGCTGAGGCCAGAGAATTGCTTGAACCCAGGAGGCGGAGGTTTCAGTGAGCTGAGATCATGCCACTGCACTCCAGCCTGGGCAACAGAGCAAGACTTTGTCTCAAAAAAAAAAAAATTTTGTTTGTACACAATATTTTCATTTCTCTAAGATATCCAGGAGTGGAATTATCAGGTCAGTGGTAATCTATGTTTAATATTTTCAGGAATTGCCAAACTGATTTCCTCAGCAAATATACTATTTTATATTCCTACCAGAGAATGTATAAAGGTTCCAATTTATCCATGTTTTCACCAACACTTGTTATTGTTTGTCTTTTTTATTTTAGACAGTGTATGAAGTGGTATCTTATGATTTTGATTTGTGTTTCCATAATTCCTAAAGATGTTGAGCATTATTTCATATCTTGTTATCTATTCATATATCTTCTCTAGAGAAATGACTATTCAAACTCTGTGTCTTTTTTTAAACTGGGTTATTTACGTTTTTATTTTTGAGTTGTAAGGGTTATTTATACACTCTGGGTATATGTAATGATTGTTAATTTTATGTATTAACTTGGCTGGACCAACATTTTTTTTTCTGTCTCTGTGTAGTCTTTTTACTTTTATAATGATGTCCTTTGAAGTATAACTTTCAAAAATTTTAAGTTCAACTTAAAAATCTTCTGTATTATTATTTATGCTTTTGGTTTACAGCCAAGATATCATGCTCTAACCCAAGTTTATTCAGGTTGACTACTTTATTTTCTTCTAAGAATTTTACAGTTTTGGCTCTTGCCTTTAGCATTATGCTCTAAGTTGAGCTTAATGTACAGTATGAGGTAAGTGCCCAAATTTATATTTTTGCATGTAAGCATCTGGCTGACAGCAGTATTTGTTGTACCTACTACTATTTTGAAAATATCTTTTACTCCAAAGACTCCTGGAATCTGACCATGAACTGCCTTTGAGAACTGCTGTCCTACTGCCAAGTATTATAACACTGTGACAGTCACTTCAATTAAAACTCTTAGCTTTTCTAATCTACTTTAGTGTATTGTTGTTCATACCTCAAATAGGCAATATATATATGTGTATGTATATATATTATACATACACATATATATATGCACAATATATACATACACATATACACATATATACATACACAATATATATACATATATATACATACACATATACACAATATATATTATACATACACATATATACACAATATACATACACTATATATACACAATATATATGCATATGCATATGTACATACATATATACACATATATATACACAATATATACATGCACATATATATACACAATATATATACATACACATATATACATACATATATATACATACACATATATACATACATATATATACATACCCAATATATATACATATACATACACATATATACATAGTATATATACATACATGTATACATACACATATATATACAATATATAATACATTATATATTATATATGTGTATATATACACATATATACATATATGTATACATATAACACATATATATACATATATACATATATCTTGTGTTACCTTGGATCACACGAATTTAGAATAATGGCCGTGTGTAATGTCATTTGGCAACAACAACAACAAAAAACTTTAACCCTTAACAGTTTCCCAAGTACAAGTACGATCATTTCAATCTTTTCTCAGGATTTCAGTCCTGAAACTAGGAATATAATCAACTGACATTTTTGTGTGTAGAATAGTATTACTTGTAAGAAATCCCTTCCATCATGAACCTCCAATATTGTTGTCCTACAGTTATGCAAACATTGTAGCTTATTGCCTATTGTACTTCACCTCCTATAAAATCATGTGCATAAAAAATATTTCCTCAGAGATATGCTTACGGCCACATGAATTGGAAACTCATTTCAGGCTTATCAAAAAGCAAACAAACAAACACATGACATGAAAACAAGCCACCAATTATGAGTACTTAAGTGATACCCCAAGCACTCAGATAACTACTAAGGTATACATTGTTTTAATTAAACCTAAAAATACCTTCTGCAGTCAGTATTATCTCCCTTTTAAAAAGAACAAAAGTAAGGCTTTAAGCATTCATTTCTAAAAAAGCTGTTGAACAAAGACTAAAATATTGACTAGAGGATATCTAGCTTAAGATAACCCAGAATTGTAAGAACAAAACTGAGAAAGAAATTAGAAGAATGAGAGAGAAGAGATAAGACCCATTAATATCCTATGTTTCAAACGAGATATGGCTATGATTCTGTTAAATGAACTAAACTTTCTCATTGGAAACACTTCTCATAAGAAAACATTTTTTGAGGTAGGCGCCTAGGGAAAGTTGGAACACTTATAATCTTAAGTGTTTTAGATTCTCATACATTTTCTTTCCTATCACTGCTGATTACAAAGATATTTGCATGTAAATAGCAATGTTCTTCTGTGTAATCAGCAGGCTGTTCTTTCAGTTTGATACGCATGCTCTCACCATAGATTTTTTTCCTCAGTAATCAATTCAGAAATCACAGACACTGGGCTATTACATCATCAAATAATTCCAGATTACGGGCAGTCAAGAGATCAAAAAGGGAAAAAACACTTTTTTGTACAAATGTCTTTATACTACAGTAATGGTCACTCTGAAGTATATATTTTGACAATTTTATGAGGCTTAATTAGCCATAGGATGTGCAATCAGTATACGATATTAACATTAATTTGTAGACCTGATGCCTTGCCAAGCTAATACCTGCCAATGAATGTTGGTTTAACAAAATGTAGCCTTTCTCTTCAGACCCATTATAGAACTTAACTATTCTCTCCATCAAATTTATCTTTTTATGGGGTTGTGTACACACACACATATATTTCAGTTTATTTAAATATATGTGAAATATTATATATATATATATATATATATATGTCAGTCTTTCTAATAGACTAGGGAGAAGGAGATAACTAGTATAATTTAGGATTATTTTTTAATTCCCCAAAGCACCTGAATGTCTAGTCCATTGTCTCGTCCATAACAACTGGTAAATCATTACTTGGAGATTAACATAAGTATGTAATCTCAAATTGCTCAGTGACTCAGTACAATTTAATCTGATATCTTTTTTTCTCACATGGAACAATGTATAACTTACTGAAAGCTAATTATTCCATAAACATAAAAGGTGTGTTCCGGAACCAAGAGAAAAAGTAACTTGAGGGCTAAAATCTGACTTTTTATTTTTCTTGCCCAAATTCCTAAGGGGCTTGGGGAGTCATGCTCTACAAACCATAAAATCTCATCAAATGGGTTTTATTTAACACTATATAATGTGGCTTACTTTTCAATGTGATTCTGGCATAACATCACATGACAGATAAAAAAGGAAATTAAAATATTTTACCCTGAAATAGTTTTCTTTGCCATATTTTGAAATGATTCTGCACAGCCATCTTTTGTGGGGGAAAATTTGCATCTGTAAAAATTCTCTATTAACACAACTAGATCTTTATTTTTCCAGGCCCTCCGAATCCTAAAGAGATAACTGAGAGTCTAGCAACTTTTAAAGTTCTGAATAAGAAACACTTCCCATCTATTATCTCTAAAGGCAGCCGCCTATGAGACTTCATCTCTGTAATAAGAACCTTGGTCTCCACAACTCCTTATCTTAACCCAGACATTCCTTTCTACTAATCCCAAGTTTTTATACAATAACTCTTTCAACCAATTACCAATCAGAAAATCTTTGACTCCACCCATGACCTGTAAGCCCCTGCTTCAAATTTTCCTGCCTTTCCAGAATGAACCAATGTATTTCTCATATGTATTGATGTCTTATATCTCCCTAAAATGTACAAAACCAAGCTGTAATCTGGACCTCTTAACACTGTGCTTCAGGTCATAGTCACTCACATTTGGTTCATAATATCTCTCTTCAAAGATTTTACAAAGTTTGGTCCTTTTTGTCAACAAATCTCTTCTGGCAAAATCAGCTACATGTGACTGTCTTGAATATATATGCACTTCTTTTTTTTTTTTTTTCAGTATCTAAACTAGAATTTTTCAGAAACGCCAGAATGAGGGAATTAGCATTCAAAGTAACCATCCATTTTATTATTTTTTTAAGTTTTTAGAGCTATAAAATAAGAATTGTAAGGTGAAAATGCTACCAAAAAACAACTGAATAAATAATAGTCTTCCCTTACTTACTTATTTGAGACTGCATATCACTCTATCCCTAGGCTGGAGTGCAGTGGCATGGCCATAGCTCACTGTAACCTGAAATTCCTGGAATCAAGGAATCCTCCCTCCTCAGACTCCCAAAGTGCTGGCATTACAGGTGTGAGCCACTGTGCCCAGCCCTCTGTTTTCTTAAGAAACCAAATTCTGAAATTTGAACAGCTTCACTTACAAAATATTGTTTCAAATCAACTTTCCACAATTTTAACTGACAAGCCTTGATTCTTTTACCTTTAAATGTTAACTCACATATCTAACTGCTTACTTCACCAATGGACTTGAATGTATAATATGCAACTCAAATATAAGATACTCTATTGCAAAAAGACAAAGCTCTGGATTTGTCCTCAAATCTGTTCCTGTTTCTAAAAAGGAACAACCACTGTAAACTCAGGGCTATTGCTATGGATGAATGTTTGTGTTCCCTCAAATTCCTAAATTCCAGCCCTAACTCCTAATGCAGTGATGCAGTGATACTTGTACATAGGGTCTTTGGAAGATAATTTGGTTTAGATGGAGTCATGAGAGTGGGTCCTCATGATGGGATTAGCGTCTTTGTAAGAAAAGGAAAGATTAGAGCTTGCGCACGCTCTCTCCTCTCTCTCTCTCTCTCTCTCTCTCTCTCTCTCTCTCTCTGTGCCCCTTGAGGACATAGTGATAAGGCAACAAACTGCAAACCAGGAAGAGGGCCTCACCAGAAATTGAATATGCCAGCACCTTGAACTTAGACATTTTAGGTTCCAAAACTGTGAAAAATAAATGGCTATTGTTTAAGCCACCCAGTCTATGGAATTTTATTATCAAAGATTAAAACATCCATCTTTGATTCTTATCTTACTGTTCATTTGTAATACATTATAATATGCTAGCAATATATGAAAATGATAAATTTGCAGGCAACAGCATTCTATTTTTCTGTGTCTCTATTGCCAGCACTTTAGTCACTGCAACAGAATCTTGACTAAGATTCTCTGTTGAATATTTAGACTGGTTTAGTTTTCTTTTTGTTCATTTGTATGTTGTAAATTTTATAAAATAATTCTGTGATTTTTCAGTGAAAATTTGTATTAAAATAAATATAAAAGAACACATGAATGGGATAACAAGAAAAGAGAGAGTTTGCAAGTCCATTTGTGAGTAGGTAATTGTGTTTGCCCTAGCATGTATCACGGGCTAAAGAGAAGTATTCTTAGCTTTAAAATAAAACACTTTGAATGGTATATGCATATTGAGGGATGTGGGAGGAACAGCTTCTTTGGATTTTTAAAACATCTTCCTTATACATCTTTTATTCAATCTATTTATGCTGATTGCTGTGTAATTTACATGGAAAAAGGAAATGATAGTCTTCAAGGGTGTTGGCATTTATATTTGTGTGTGTGTGTCTGTGTGTGTGTCTTAATTTTTGTCAGAACTAGGTTTTCTCTGCAGCTGGTTCTTGGTCCTGTGATGGGAGATGCTGTAACCTAAAAAAAAGATCATTACTTTGGAATCAGATAAACATGGGGATAAATCTGATTACGATAGGGTCATCTCTCTCTCTCTCACTCCTTTTTTGCCTCTCCCATTTCTTCTTTCCTCCCTTTTTTCTTTCTTTTGTTCTAATAAGTATTACCAAGCACCCAGTTGATAAAAAGTTCTAAACCAGGCAACAAGGACAAAGAGACAAATAAGATCATTGTCCATGACCTCAAGAATTTCTAGTTTAGTAGGGAAGTCAGATAGTTAGAGATAAATTTAGTATTCCAAGAGATAAGTTTAACTCTGGCTATAAAATGTCAGGGATATCTTCAAGAGAAGAGGGAGAATTTGAGCTCATTTGTGACCCATTAAAGAAGGTTATCTCCCTGAGACACATGACAAGATTTCATGAATATTCTCTTCTCAATTATTACTTTTCCTCTACAAGTAACTTATTATCTTGGGAGAATTTTCAATATTTCTTTTATGAGAATCAGGTTTTAAATTAAATCAAATAAATTCATGTTGCAGCAATTTAATTCCACATATATTTCTGTGTCTACTGCTTTAGCTAATGAAGATGATACAAAGACTAATAACACACATGCCCTGCAATCTAAAAACTTACAGTCTCTACTGTAAAAGCTTGAGGAAGCACACAGATAGCTCTGATAGTTGGCAGGCTATAATAAATTATATTACAAGATTGCAAACAATGCTATTAAACACAGGAAAAAAGGCAAATTCCTACTGAAGGATCATAGAAAGTTTTCCAAAAATGATGGTGAAATCAGTTCTTGAGGTATTGGTTGTACTTTGGTGAGTGAATCTGTAAAGAAAATATTGTCAAGCCTTGAGTTCATGTTGAATGAAGGCAGGGTGTTGAGGATAAACTGATACATTTTTAGATACTTGAGATTAGGGTGAAAAGCAAGAGGAAAGATTAATCCAGTTTTGTGGAATTTGGAGCTTATAAAACTGGATTAGTGATCCTTAACAAAAAACAAAATTAAACTTATAAATACAAATTAGATATAGAGGTGAACATTTATTTAGAAAGAGAAGAAAAAGTCAAGAAATTATACATTATTGGAAAACTAATAAACACCACTGTTAAAGAAAAATTACACTGGATATGTTACAAGTGGAAAGAAAGACTTTACTCAAGGTTATTTCACTAGGAGCCAAGAATATTGCAATAAGGAATAGAGACTGAACTCAACTGTGTTGAAACAAAAGGCAGGAGGACTTTTAAATGCTGAGCTGAACTAGTGGAAAAGTATTGCAGAACATTGATGGAGGCTGGTCAATATGATTGGCCATCTGTGTTTGTGTATTAGTCTGTTCTCATAGTGGCAATAATGACATACTTGAGACTAGGTAATTTATAAAGGGAAGAGGTTTAATGGGCTCAGAGTTCCACACGACTGGGAAGGCCTCACAATCATGGCGGAAGATGAAGGAAGAGCAAAGGGATGTCTTTCATGGAGCAGGCAAGAGGGCATGTGCAGGGGAACTCCCATTTTTAAAACTATCAGATCTTGTGAGACTTATTCACTACCATGAGAACAGTTGGGGGAAACTGCCCCCATGATTCGATTATCTCTACCTAGTCTTGCCCTTGACACATGGGAATTATTATAATTCAAGGTAAGATTTGGGTAGGAACACAGCCAAACCTTATCAGTTTGTTAATTGTTACTTAATGAAGTTAGGCTCTTATTCTCCCATGGAGACTGGAAAACAGAGCCATATTTTTTTTTTTTTAAATAATTGCCTTTCAAAGAAATTTCTCCCAGATCCCTGAGAAAGACATTCCTAGATATAGAAAGTTTGCATTTCAAAGGGGCAGAGAAAGAATTTAAAATCTAAGTTTTCTAAAGTAAATGCTCTAAGTAAATAGAGATCAGAGGCCCAGAGTAAAGAAGTCTGGTTTAAACTTTGTCAAGCTTAGAAAAATGTGTTAAAGCCATCTTCATCACCACAGTCATAAAATGCAGAACAAAAATTAGCATTTGTTTTAATTAAATGCTTTAAACACTTTTATATTACAATTCTTTTCTATAATCATTAGCTGCTTTATCTTTGATTATATCTCTATCTCACAACAATTTTATGGTATTCGTTTTTTATTAAAAGAATTCGGGTTTTCCTATAGCAAATTTGGCAAAGAGAAATTATTAGTTTAAGAAAACGTATCTCTGCTTTATTACTCATTACATTATTGGTAATGTCAAGAAAATCTTAGTCTTTTCCTTAGGAAAACTTAAAGAAACTTCCATCAAATTTGTTTTATATGTGAGCTGTAAAATTTCATAGAATTTCAGGTTTCCTTGTACAATGATTAATCTTAATTATTCTTTGAACTGATAACATTATCTTAACCGATTTGTCAATGATGTTTGTCTACCTAAAGAAAGAAACTGAGACAAAATTGGCATAAAGAGTTAATTTGAGTTGAGGGCTGCAGCTTCTCATGTTCTTGTTGTACTTGCGTACTCTGAGTTTTAAGTTACTTTTGTCAATATCACTATTTCAATTCAAATAAACAAGACATTAATGAATCTCTTTAGTGTGATTAGGGAAGGCCAACTCAGGCCAGGAGATGCACATGAACAAGGCCTGGTCTGGTAAGGAGTCCACTTTGGCTATTTTGTGGTGAATAGCCTCAGCATTAATTTCCAGGACACTGGTGAAATGTAATGAAAAGTGGACAGACAAAAACCAGGCATGGTTAGTTTATGACAGAAATGCTTTCACTATGTTCGCATAAAAAAAACCTTAAACATTTTCTCTACTTTTGAAGTCACTAAGCTGGGAAGCTGAAAATCAATCAGCTATTTATGTAGGAGCAGTGATCGCCTATATATTTTCATTTTTTTCCTAAAGAGAATAGAAATAAATTGTCAAATTGAAATATTAATAACAACTCTGGTGAATCTTCTAAAATTTAAAAGAATTATTTTTGGTAAGAAAATATAGTAAAATATATATCTCTCTCGTATACAAATATAGGCAGGACAGATAATATTCCTATGTGGACAAGCAAATAAAACAAAAAAGAAAAGTTAATTGAAAGCTGATATAGGACTTAGTTGGAATAGACATCCATTAACACCTCTATAGCTGTGCCTTTGCATACATATAGGAAAAAATTCTCAAGAACAGTAGAAAACAAAATATGCATACATGCCATCTAAATCAAGTTCCATCTCAGTGCTTGAATGGATAAAATGCTGCAAATAGAACACTGCTGGAGAAAACCTAAAGAAGAATTTGAAATAATATTAAAAAGGGCTTTTTATGTCACTTTTCTCATGAAATAAGTGGCATACTTTACTAAAGGAGGGGATGACATGGTTTTCCTGTTTATGGTTGAAACATGACTTATCACAGTTTGTTTATGAGAGCCTCATATTTTCTTGTCATATTTTGAGTATGATTTCTTCAGAAAAAATATACTTTTCAATTTAAAAGTGGTATACAATTATACTAGTCTGTAAATATATTAAAATTCACAACAATAGATGTGGAAATAATTAGAGTTCAACTTGCCTCTCTTTTCTAACCAAATCACACAAAGGGAAAATGAAAGGCTAAGAATGAAATGCACGCATATTATCTGGGAAGAGTCATTCAAGTTTTGCAAACAACAACAACAACAAAAACCAGTGTTTTAACCATATCAAAATTTATTATGATTGGATGTGTTACATCTACATAGCCTACAATGATATAGTTTCAGTATAATGTGAAAAATTAAAATTATTCTCTAACAAACTATGCTCATTTGTGCAATAAATTGCATTTCTAATGAAATCGAGGATTAGTACTCCAAATATGTAAAAAAAACTGGCTTGGGTCAGCATGAACCCTTTGAAATCACTAGTCTTCAGGCACATTCTCTGATAGTTAGAGAATTCTGCTTTTGAGGTAGTAATTTTATTCAGGAATACTTTAGGTATATATCTTGTCACTTCTGTTTTGTAGTTTGAAGCTCATTTTCTTTCCACGTGCACAGAGTCTAGAATGTTAACAATATTTCAGGAAATTAAGAAAATTTACAGTATAAAATAAATTAAAATCAAATGTTACATAACAAGAGATCAATTTTAAAATTAGATGTGGCCAATTTTTTCTCGACAGGAAGTACCAGCAAGTATTAATGGTACCATTGGGTCTATAAGTTGATACAATCTTCATGAAGGGCAATTTGGCTCCATATATTGATAATTAAAATGTACATACTTTGCATCCCAGCACTCTCCTTTCTATAAATTTGTCATAAGGCAATAACTGAACACACTTGCTAAATATGTGAACAAGGCCCTTCATTCCAACATTTTTTAAGATATGCAAATATTAGAAAAACAAATTTTATATAAGGAATTGCTGGATATTTTGTCTAGCTAAATCTGACTATATTTATAAAATAGGCTAATGGGATGTATGTTTATAAGCATGTGTGTATCATGTCTGTCAGTAGGAAGGGGAGGTAAGAAGGCTAAATTTTTATTTTCCATTGTAGAATGCCTAAAAATAGTGTCCAAAGCTGAAAAGAGACTGCATGAAAAATATGTGATTTAGAAATAAGGAGCAAAATATACTGGGGATGGGGGCACCTTAAGGTCATGAACATGCTTGCCTCTGTGCAATGAACATAAGAGTGAGGTAAGGAAGCTACTATTCATACATTCTAAGACTTGAAGATTTAGTTGGTATTTAAAATTGAGAATTTTTAACTTCAATAGGAATTTTAAAAATTAAGACCTTGAGTAATAAATGTTTAATAAACTTTGCCATTACTGACATGTCCAGATAATTGCAAAAGCCTCTTAACTGTTGTGCTGCTTTTGCTCTTGTTCACTTTGAATTTATTTTCAAAATGGAGCCAGAGTGATTCTATAAATATATGTCAGCTCACAACTCTCCAATGGCTCCCCAGATATTCAGAGTCAAGTCAAGGAGCGAAGAATGGGTTACGAGAATCCAGCCACCTGTTACATCTCTAACCACATCTCTATCACTTTCTCTCTGGCTCCTTCACCTCCAGTTAGTCTGACTATTCTATTAAGTGTTTAATAGACTTATTATCACTTGGCACCTGTTTTGTCCTTGATAGCCACAGCCCTTGCTCCTTCACACTCTCAGTTTTATCCTGTCACCTTCTCAGTGAGGTCTTCTGTCACTCCTACAGCAACTCGCAGGCACTCTTGATGTTCTTTCCTTGATTTACTTTTCCTATAACTCAACTTTCAACAAACAATGCATTTTCTCTGTTAATTAACTGTTTTGTCTTCTAATTCATCTACAACTAGCATACATACACTGTAATGAAAATTTAACATTAAAAATGAATCTACATCAGCAGATTCAGAAGTGCTAAAAGAGTGCATACAAATATGTGGCTTAGGTAAAAGGTGAAAAACAAATATAGAACAAATGAAAATACATATTTTTTCTGGAATGTACATCAAGGCTGTCATACATAGGGTTTATTATCCAAAGACTAAAGTAAAACAGTTCTTGGAATAAAAATAATCAGTTTTCTTTGCAGAGTTGAGAATAGGCCTGGGAAAACTTTTCCGTAATTCAAAGAGACTTTCCTTTGCATCTTTTATGAAATGGATATTTGGGATGCTGTTTAATTCATAGAGGAAAAAAGACATGTTTTGAACATAGCATGAGATATTTTGTTCATTTTTAAAAATATTTTTGTATGGAGAAACAACACCTCACTGCAGTTGTAAAACTTTTTTGTATAAATTTTTTACTTGCATTTTTTTCTATATTTGGGAATCAACTTAGTGTTAGGGAAGGGTCCTTGCTTCCAAATTAAACTTGCTTCACTCTACTATAAATTATTTATGAAAAAAACTTTTCCTTCTAATATACTGCATTGGAGATAATATTCCCTCCATAGATTGGTTGTGAGGTTAAAATCATAATAGAAATTAAATTACTTTTTGTTGGAATTATTTTATACCACCATCACTGAGTAAATATGTCAGATTTGTTTCCACAGAATTCCATAGAAGTTATGCAAACTGTTGAAAACCCACAAAGATATTAATGCATTAAATCACTTATTGCATTAGTAGCTTTAGAAGCCAGTAAAACTAGCTAGCTAAAAAAATTCCTTGGGGTCTGGAGTCACATAAATTATTTTCAATGCCTGTTATTTCACTCTTGATTTTCCACAAGATGACAAGCCTCTTGGAGATACCTCCTTGTATCTACTTTCCAGGTTATTAGATACATTATTTTCCCAGGTACATTATAGTTTCCCAGATACATGTATAGCTTTCCCAGATACGTTATTTTTCCATTATATAGCAAAATTTTACATCTGTGGATTAGAAATTAAATTTCACAAAGCACCTAAGAAAGTCTTAACTGTTCTAAATCTTAAGTGAATAAAGACCTGGCATGTGTTTGTGTTGTGTATGTCTCTCTGTCTCTCTGTGTGTGTGTGTGTGCGCGCGTGCGTGCGTGCGCATTGGTATCAGTTCTGAAAGTGTATATTGGGGTCTAAGTTAGGCTCATGCTCTCAGAAATTTGATGCAACATGCTTGGATTATTTTGTTCAATATGAGAGTTAAAAAGTACATTATAGTGCTATTTTGGAAAAGAAAGAAAAGCTTTTCAGTAGTAACCTAACATTTTGCATTGTATATGTTACCTTTTGCTTCTTTTTCTTACACACGTATACAAAAGTACATAATGATAATGGTATCATTATTGTTGTTTTTGTTAACCCTCATGGATCACTGTTTCCCAGGTTCTCTGCTAAGTACCATACATGCGTTCTATCACTTACTCTCCATAACATAAAGTAGGCATTTGTTGCATTGACGAATTTGTGCTGCAATTAGAAAAATAATAGTAATCTGCTAATGATAATGTAGGTATTCGCTTGACAATTTTTTGAGTGTTCTACAAGTTATTTTATTATTTAATTTATGCAATGGATTAATGGATGGCGTCATTACTCAGTTTTACAGAAGAGGAACCCAAGTCACAGAAAGGTGAAGTAACCTAAGAAAGTATCACAGCTTCTACACTACAGTAAATATTACATGCTCAATGAAACACTGACTCCTGAGAGCACACTTTTAAATTGCCTGTTATACTGCTTTTAAAAATGTAGACTATTTGAAAATGTAGCTTTAGAACTTCTGATTTAAAATTGAGTTTGGGAAAATATCCTGACACAATCTATTTTATCTTTCATTTAAATAACTATTAAGATAAAATAAATAAAATGAAAGGAAAAATAATAAATCTAATAATAATAATAAAGAAAGAAGGAATCTGGGGAAACAATGGATAACTCTAAAATCAACCAACCTATTTCAAGAGTAAAGCATTATTCATGTTTTGTTTTTTGGCATTACTGGGCTTCATTTCATAAAATGGATGCCCCTCAAACAAAATTAAGAAACAAAATAAAACATGGTACATGTCCCAAACTCAAAAACTCATGGATTAAAACAGCAGGAAAATTATATAGATATGCACTACTGTGTGGCTGCAACTTTTTAATCCATCTAAAGTCTTTTTTATTCCATTACATATGTTTCCACTCCCATTTAAATTTATAACTCTCAGAGAACAATGGTAAGAAATGGAAGTAGATAGAATGACTGGCATTAACATGTTACATCCTGGGAACTTTTCTAAGTAGATTATATATTACAGAAGGGCAGACTTTTTGTCTGCTCTATTTACTAATAAATCCATATCACTTATCACATGGAAGGCATTAACTAAGATCTTGAATAAAATATGTACAGTTTTACAGGCAGTGTTTGAAACATGGAACTCTCTGCCAACTACAGAGAGTAGGGATTTTAATACTTCTATGTACTACACTGGGATATTACAGCAGCTACAGAAGAAGGCCACACTCTGAAAGAGGCAAAGAAGAAAATAATCTGAGAATCCTACATCTAATGACTCTCTACATTTAGATCTGGGAAGTAATTTTAGCCTCCCTTCACCTGAGCCAATCTGCATACCAATAATGCTTGATTAGTACATTGGTCAAAGACACATAAAGGAGGGAAAAAAAGCTATATGTGGTAAACAAACAAACTAAAAGAGGAATGAAAAGAGAGAACTACACTAAAGACTTGGGGGAATATGCATCTTGATTCCTATGAATTTAAGAAACTTCTTCATAGTTTCAAAATAATATGACGATTTGTCCTCTGGGAAAGAAGAAGCAGAAAATTATGAGAGAATCACAAGAGAAATCACAGGGAAAATAATAGAAAGCTAAAACTGCAACTGCAGAATTATAAGTTCTTTAGAAGCAGTAAAGCCCAAAATTGACAAAATGACATCTTGATTTAGTGATAAAGAGAACATTTTTTAGAAAACATAAGAAAACTTCAGAAAAAGAAAACAATAAATAGGCTAGGAGATGATTGAAATTGAGGATATTCATTGGAGTTATTATATAGGTGTTTTCCAGTTTGGGGAGCTAATTTTTCTGCATATTGAATTTGATAACTCAGATTTTAGTTCATTTCCTTATATGGTTCATAGATTTAGATTGTGATCTTTAGTATAGATGATTGCATGCTCATACATGTAGGTTTGTATTTTTTGTGAGAGCTCCCAGCTGCAAATAGAAGTTTTAATTTACTTATTCTTAGGCCTAAAGACTTTGTACTTATTCTAGTCAACTTTTAAATTAATTTCTTGGCTTGCTAAGAACAACCGATGTAGAAAGATAGTGTAAATTCTGACTTCATCTCATACCTTTTCATAGCACAGACCAGGGCTAGTTTATGGCATTAATCTAATTCCCATTACACCGTGACCTCTCAATTTTATATATCAACATACATTTTATTTATAATCAGAATGTGTTAATAAGAAATGCTACTTTTAAATAGCTAGACTGAGCCTTTCATTCTATAAATATCTAGGAAATAAAAAAGTAGCCATTTCTTGTGATAGGATTTTGATGTTTAGTGATTCATACTTTTCTTTTTTTCATAATTTCAAATAAAGAAAATTTAATAAATAGAAAAACTAATATTTTAAATATATAGTGTATTGGTCAGGATTCCCCAGAAAAACAGAACCAATAGGATATGTGTGTGTGTGTGTGTGTGTGTGTGTGTACATAAAATGAGAAAGAGGCAGATGGAGAAAAAGAGATTTATTATAAGAAATTGGTTCATGCAATGATGGAAACTGGGAAGTTCTGTGGTCTGCCATCTGCAACTTGGACATGGAGAAAAGCCAGTGCTGAAGCTCCAGTCTGAGTTTCAAGGCCCGATATCTGGGCACCTCATGACCCAGTCAGGTTGATACATAAAATTAGCCATCAGGTATAATAATATATTTTATCAACAATTCCAAATTTATACACACACTTCAATGAAATATTTAACAACTGTGTCAAGAGTTTATTTACTCAAGAAGTATTTATTGAAGTTTACTAAATGGAGACCACTGCAATAGTAGCTGGCATAGAGAGGTAAAGAAGAGAGGAATTACAATTCTGAGATTCCAAAATGAGGCATAAGGAAACTAAACCAACCTGCAAATAAATATTGAATACTAATTTTAAAATAGAAATATATTTTGCAATTTAAGAACATAAAATAGTCTTATCTAACTTAGTTCAGGGTTCAGCTATACTTCCTTTAAGAAGATGTTATTTAAGCTGATCCCTGAAGGATGAATAGGAGCTTCCTAAGGAAAGTCAAGTGGCCTTGTTCTATTCCAGTCATTTGACTATTGAGTAAGTTGCCTAATGTCTCTAAATGTCTGTGTTCTAATCTGAAATATGCCATTATATTTAATTGATCTATTATGCAGGGTTGTATTAAATTGGTATTTTAGGCCCCTTAGGTACTATAATAATATACCATACACTTGGCTTAAACAACGGAAATTTATTTCTCACAGTTCTGGAGTCTGGTAAGTCCAAGATCAAGGTTCTGGCAGGGTTTTGGTTTTGGTGAGGGCTTTTTTCCTGATTTGCAGGCAGTGGTGTTCTCATTGTGTTCTCACATGAGGGAGAGAGCTCTGGTGTATCTTCATCTTTATATAAGGGTACCAGCCCTACAGGATTAGAGTTACACTCTTATGACCTCACTTAACCTTAACTACCTCTTTAAAATAACCTAACTCCAATATAGCTACATTGGGGGTTAGGAATTCAACTATGAATTTTGGCAAGATATAGTTCTTTCCACAGCATTATTTTCCTGCCTTCTTGCCAGCTCAATTCATGTTTTTATCACATGCAAAATTCATTTTTTCCATTTCAGCAGCCCCAAAAGTCTTGTCGTTACAGCATCAACTCTAAGGTCTGAAGTCTAAAATTTCATCTAAATATTATCTAAATCAGTTATGGGTAAAATTTAAGGTACAGTTCATCCTGAGGCAAAATTTTTCTTAAGCTTCTCTAGCTCTGAAGCTGTGAAACCAGGCAAGTTACTCGTTTCCAAAATTTCAAAAGGAAGAAGTAAGAAAAAAAGAGAGTGAAGGGTCCTAAGCAAGTCCAAAACATAGCAAGACAAATGTTACAACTTAAGACTTGAGAATAATCCTCTTTGGCTTGCTTCCCTGTCTTCTGGACCCACTAGGGTGACAATCTGCTCCTATGGCTTTACTGAGCAGTTGTCATGTTCCCAACACTCTGCTAGGAGGGGATCCCACACTCAAGGCTTTAGGCAACCCCTCACCCACATCTCTGGCTGGAGACTGTTTAGCTTATTAAAACAGAGGCACTAGACCCATCCTTTGAAACTGAGGAGGCAGCACTGATGATCTCTGAATTACCTTCAAGGTCATTCTTTCTTTTTTTTGAAGAATAGTGCATTTACAGTAGAATAGTTTTATGATTGGGTCATGTAGGATCTAAAAAGTTTGACACTTTCTTTCATTTTATCTCTTTTTTTTTTTTTCTGCCCCTTTTAGTCCCAGTTGGCAGTGTTTCTGCTGGTGTAATTCTATCTCTATTCCTGGCTTCTGCTTAAATGGGTAATTAAGTCCATGAATCACACCTATGATCTCTTTATCAAATGGTTATTCAGCCACATTCTTAGTGTTCTCTAAAGAACAAGCTTTCTCATTTTTGTATCATAGATAAACTGAGAATTTTTCAAATCTCTGAGTTCTTGTTCCTTTTTAATCACCAATTCCATCTTCAATTCATCTATTTCCTCTCATATTTTACTACAATCATAAAAAGAACCTAAGCTGCACCTTCAATGCTTTGCTTAGAAATTTCTTCTGCTAAACATTTTATTGCTTACAACTTCTACCTGCCACAAAATACTAGAACACAACTTAGGTAAGTTATTTGCCACATTATAACAAGTCTTAGCTTCCTCCAGTTTCCAGTAAACTGTTTCTTTTCTTTTTTTTTTTTTTTTTTGAGATGGAGTTTCACTCTTGTTGCCCAGGCTGGACTGCAATGGGGTGATCTTGGCTCACTGCAACCTCTGCCTCCTGGGTTCAAGTGATTCTCCTGCTTCAGCCTCCTGAGTAGCTGGGGTTACAGGTGCATGCCATCACGCCTGACTAATGTTTATATTTTTAGTAGAGATGAGGTTTCACCATATTGGCCATGCTGGTCTCGCACTCCTGACCTCAGGTGATCCACCCGCCTCAGCCTCCCAAAGTGCTGGGATTACAGGCGTGAGCCACTGTGCCCGGCCTCCAGTAATCTGTTTCTTATTTCTGAGACATCACCAAAATTTCCTATAATATCTATATGTATTTCTAGCATATACTTCATAACTCTTCTGGCCTCTACCTAATATCCAGTTACAAAGCTACTGCTATATTTTTAGGTATTTTTTACACGAAAACTCTACTCCTTAGTACCAAAATCTGTCTTAACCTTCTTGGGCTACTATAACAAAATACCATAAGCTGTATGGCTTAAACAACAGAAATTTATTTCTTATGGTTCTGGAGGTTAGAAAGTCCAAGATAACATTTCTGGTAGGGTTTTGTTCCTGGTGAAGGTTTTCTTCCTGTCTTGAAGATAGCCATCATGCTGTGTTCTCACATAGTAGAGAAAGAGAGAGCTCTGGTGTTTCTTCCTCTTCTTATGTGAGGATCAGCCTTATCAGATTCGAACTCCACACCTTACGACCTCAGTTAACCTCAATCACCTCTTCCAAGACTCTTTCTACAATACAGTCACATGAGGAGTTAGGGACTTAACACATGTATTCAAGGAAACACTATTCAGCCTGCAGCAATTAGTATTTTTCAATCTATTGCACAAGATTTTCAAGTGTTAGCTACTATTCTGGCTGTTATTAGCCAGGATAACACTTGTGTAGGATTATTGGCAGACAGAAAGATGCATATGCTATTCCTGGTGTGGGAGGGAGGCTGACCAATGCAGTTGGAACTGCATTGTGAGAATAGGGAGGTTTGTTAGGAGAATGACAAAACCATGGGGGGCAAATTCATGCAGTGCCTTGTATGATCTGACAAAGTCTTAATTTATACCTTGAGAAAAATGGGCAGCAATTTAGGGAAGTAGTATTATCAAAAATGAATGTAAAAAGCACTCTATTTTTATGAAATGCATTGGAGGGGAGAAAACTGGATGGATGCTAGATGACCAGATATGGGAGAGGAAAAATGGGGATTTAGTATATCAGATATTTCTATACCAAAAAGCAATTTAAGGTTCAGCCACTGTGGAACGGCTGTGTCAGTCTTGCTGTGTCAAGTCTCCGGTATTTTTGTATACTCTAAAAATAATTCTTAATAATATTTGAAAAAATTGGATAACAGAAACATTTTTACAATGCCATACTATGTAAGAGAGACCATATTTAAATCAGTGTTTCTGGCCTGGTGTGGTAGCTCATGCCTGTAATCCCAGCACTTTGGGAGGCCAAGGCGGGCGGATCAACTGAGGTCAGGAGTTTGAGACCAGCCTGGCCAACATGGTCAAACCTCATCTCTACTAAAAATACAAAAATTTGATAGGTGTGGTGCACTTTTAGTCCCAGCTACTCGGGAGGCTGAGGCAAAATAATCACTTGAACCCAGGAGGCAGAGGATGCAGTGAGCCAAAATCATGCCACTGCACTCCAGCCTGGGTGACACAGTGAGATTTTTGTCTCAAAATAAATAAATAAATAAAATAAAACAATGTTTCTAATTATGTAAACATTGTTATATGTACATGGCTGCATAGGCACATGTAAAATATTATAAATATTTATAAATAATATGAACACACAAAAATGCAATAAAATATGAATGTGAAATACTAATTTGATAATAATTTTAAATATTAAAATAGCATTTAAAATATTAGTCACTGTTATTTCTAGAAAGACAAATTACATTTTATTTTTTCAATCTGCTTTTCTTACAACTCTAAATGTTTTATAATGTATGATTTGCTTACATTTCTAAAATTTTATGATGTTTGGGCAACATATTTCTAAGGAAAAAATGACTACAACTGGTACATAAAGTTAGGAGTTTTAGATTGAAAGATAAAATACTCTTTTTGATATCTAAGTATTGTATACTCATAATGTATTATATTACCAAGTATTTTATATATTGTAGATGTGTCTTGATTTTATGGTTGTAGTGAGACTAATGAAGTTGAGAAGTGGAGCAAAATTGATATTTTACAACAAGAATTTGAAAAATTCTGATTTCACGTTTTCTACTTTCACTTTATTAGTACCATCCTGAAATTACGAATACCTCACCAAGGTGAAGATAAAACAAAAATATGGCTTTACAACTTTAGAAGCTAGAAATTGTTTATAGAATGTGTTGGGGAAGAGCCTATGTTATGAAATTAAAAGGCCTGTGGTTGGTTCTAAATGTTCCACTTTGTAGCCAAGGATTTTGACCAGATTGACTAAGTCTCATTTTCATGATCAGTAAATAAATTAGAAAATAAGCTCTACTCTGCCTACTGTACATGGATGTTGTGAGGGAGAGGTAAAGTAATGTGTGCACACTATTTAGAAATTATATGTTATGCAAACCTAAAATTCTTGTTTTGGCAACAAAATTAATGATCACAGGGAAGCAAATAAAGCAATAAGTAGATTGTATTGAAATTTGCAACAAATAATTAAGGAGCATACGAAGAAAGCTAAATGCTAAATAAACCAACTTCCTTTCCTTTGGGCTTAACTAATATCTCATATTCATGTACTCCTAACAGTCACTAATAAATTAGTTAACCTCCTCTCTAACAGCTTGAAGAATAAAGGCCTTTGATCAAAGACCTAATCAGTATATTTTGAATTATTTTTATTGTAGCACAGTATGTTTTCAACTCAATATAACTAGCCTGGAAATAAACTAGATCTACTCTGTTTAGATATAATCTGAATATCATCCATATGTATTCATAACTAATATGTTTATTAAATTAATAATATACTAAGTATATCTGAATATAAGGTGCACACAAGGTAATTATAGTGAATGTAACTGATAAAAGGAATGGTAAAATAAAAAAGATTTATTCATCTAATTGAATGCTGTACTCTAAGGATGTGGCTTTCCTTCCATTTTTAGTTTAAATATAAATTATTCAACCTGAGTATTCATGTACATAACTCATTTTTTAAAGGTATAGTTTAAGTTCTGGGGTACATGTACAGAACGTGCAGTTTTGTTACATAGGTATACACATGCCATGGTGGTTTGCTCCACCCATCAACCCATCATCTACATTAGGTATTTCTCCTAATGTTATCCCTCCCCTAGCCTCCCACCCACTAACAGGCCCCGGTGTGTGATGTTCCCCTCCCTATGTCCATATGTTCTCATTGTTCAACTCCCACTTATGAGTGAGAACATGCGGTGTTTGGTTTTCTGTTTTTGTGATAGTTTGCTGAGAATGGTGGTTTCTAGCTTCATCCATGTCCCTGCAAAGGATATGAACTCATCCTTTTTATGGCTGCATAGTATTCCATGGTGTATATGTGCCACATTTTCTTTATCCAGTCTATTATTGATGGACATTTGGGTTGGTTCCAAGTCTTTGCTATTGTGAATAGTGCCGCAATGAACATACATGTGCATGCATATTTATAGTATAATGATTTATAATCCTTTGGGTATATACCCAGTAATGGGAAGACAAACTGATTAAGAATGTGCTGTAGGGGTCAGACAGTCCAGAGTTTAAATACTGAGTCCACCACTTTGCTAGTTCTGTGACCTTGGGCAAGTTAATTGTTCTAATCCTCATGTTCTTCATCAGTAAAATGAGAATAGCCACAGTATATATCTTAAAGGGCATTGTGAGTATTGAATAAAATAATCATGTCAGTAACATATACAAATATTCAATAAATGTTCACTGCTGCGGTTTTGTTGTAGCTGTTGCTAATTGGAAAGTTTGGTAGAGATAATTTTTAGCAAAAAAGAGTTGAGGTTGAAACTCAGGCTTTTTTTGTTGGTCCGTTTGCTTTCATGTGTTTCTAGTCACTTCTTACTGGTTCTCAGTACCCAAGACATACCCTATTACATCTAAACATGTGAATATGAAAAGATCTACACAATAAATTGTGAAATGAAAAAAAATGTATAATAATTAAAAGTAGTTAAATGTTTATCTCTGAGTTTCTTGATAGCCAAGATCAAGATTCAAAAATTAGTTAGCAACATGAATTTTCTTTTGTTAATAAAAGATCACATATAGTTTTAAATTGATCTCTTTAGTCTCTTGTAGTCAGGAAACATTCTGCTAGACTGTTAAAAACATGCAGGCAAACTCTTGGATTTCTCTTTCTATTGAAGAACTGGTCAAGAAAAACAGTTCACTCCTTTGCAGAAACACACAGACTAATGAGTATAGAGGAAAATGCTTCCTTACCTCCCTTTTTATATTATTATTTATTTTTATTTTTTATGGAAACATAGTAGCTATATATGTTTTGGGGGTACATGAGATATTTTGATCCAGGAGGACAATGTGTAGTAACAGTTATGTTATGGTAAATGGAGTATCTGTCGCCTCAAGCATTTATTCTTTTTGTGTGTGTTACAAACATTTTATTTATACTCTTTTAGTTATTTAAAATGTACAATAAAATATTGTTGACTGTAGTCATTCTGTTGTACTATCAAATACCAGATCTTATTCATTCTATCGAACTATATTTTTGTACCTGTTAACCATCCCCATTTCTCCCCTCCTCACCACTATAAATCCTTCCATTCTGTTGAATCTGATGCTGCCTTCTGTTGCATTTGATCTTTGTTTTTTGGTTGACCTTTCTCAACCCAAGCCAACCCAACTCCTTCCTAAGAGTCCCTGAAATGACTTTGGTAGAGGATCATTTATTTTCTGTAACCTATTTCAGACTTAATAGCCCTAACAATTTGAGGGACCTGAAGTAGTTTCTTTAATTTGTTCACAGTCAATCAGGCCCAAATCTATACATGGCTCATTTTCTGCATAATGAGCAGGGTCAGATTAAGATATCTAGATTCCCTAAGCATGAAACAAATAGTTCCTTGTTTTATATAATATTACAAAATAAATATTAACCCCAAAAATGATTTTGAAGAAATATGACATCATTTCTTCTATGTATTTTTGTCATGTTTTGAAATATATGCTGTAAGTTTTAAAAATGTTTTTCTAATTTTTATGCTAATTCTTTATTTGTATATAATGTTTATCATATCTAGTAGGAAATGCAACACGAGTTATATTGGTTTCATTTTATTTGTATCTCTATTAGTTCCACCATGTATTTCTCACACTATCAACCTAAGCATTCAAACAATGTATCCCTGTGCAGTGATAGCAACTTTTATTAATAAGAAAAAAACCTTTGAATGAAATATTGAGAATCTCTTTGCAGCAAATTAATGCTTTTTTGTCACACAAACAGGTCAAGACATATATTTTGACTGATTTATGTAAAATATCTTTATCAAAATACCTGCGTCCTTTTTGCACAGTACTCATCACACAATCAGTATATTTAATGTAATGATAGCAAAATTTCTGAATTTGATTTATTGACTTTTTTCCCAGTTGTAGCCAGATTTATTTATTCTGTTACTCTTTTTTTCTGGAAATGAAAAAGTAAGAACATGTCCCCTAAACTTCACTTATCTGTTCATTTCTAACTTATTCTATTCCCCTTGCTTTCAAGACCCACATCATAGCAAAAGATACAATAGCTTATGACTCATATTACTCTCTTTTAGCTAGAGAGCCCACAAGTCATTTAATAATACCAAAGGTAAGATTTGCTGCTTTCAAAGATTTAATTTTCCAGCAGATTAGATTTTAGCTAAATAGAAAAATGTATCTAATTGGGACCTGTTATTTTTTTTTTTTTAAATCTTTTTCTGGGCACTACCTTGAATAGGATTTATTTGAGACAGATATTCTGAAACATTTGAATATTATGGAGTTATTACATACTTAGTCTACTGAGTCAATTAAATAGGTACTGAGAAATATGTGCTATTACTTTCAATCTGTTAACTTCTGGACCACAGGGAGCAATTATCTGCAAAGAACTTCCTGTATGTTCTATGACTCATAAAGTGAGAATAAACTCCGACAGAATCAAAACTTATGTTTTCCTAATTATATATTTGTTATCTAGCATGATTTTAAGTAGTAAATGCAAAATACTTATATTTAGCCATTGGGAGCCATAATATGGAAATATTGATTTAAATATGTAAATGATGACATTCCTTTTTGGAAAAAAACAGAAAAAAAAATTCAGCTAACAATTTTGAATTAATTTTCAACAATTAATGTCACTGATTTTATAATTAGAGCTTGTTTGTCATGATGGTATGTGCTTTATCTGTGAACATTTTGCCTAATATTCATAACAATCTGATAACACTGTTACTAGGTAGAATTATGATCCCCATCTTACAGATGAATTGACTGAGACCTATACAGATAAAACAGTTTGTCTAAGATCATTCAGTTCAGAAGTAGAATAGATGACTCTTCTAGAAAAGCCATTGTTAAATTCTTCTAAATATACTTACATCATTCTGGTTTTCTGTTTGTTTGTTTGTTAGTTTGTTTTCTGAGACCAAGTCTCCCTCTGTCACCCAAGCTGGAGTGCAGTGGTGTGATCTCGGCTCACTGCAAGCTCCGCCTCCTGGGTTCACACCATTCTCCTGCCTCAGCCTCCCGAGTAGCTGGGACTACAGGTGCCTGCCACCATGCTGGGCTAATTTTTTGTATTTTTAGTAGAGACGGGGTTTCACTGTGTTAGCCAGGATGGCCTTGATCTCCTGACCTCGTGATCCGCCCGCCTCAGCCTCCCCACGCCTGGCCACCTACATCATTCTTAACATGTATGCATTATTCCCTGGGAATTGTAGATAGGAGTATCAAACTGGCATGTTAACTACAAAAGTTATAGTTTCTGAAACGATTTACTGAGCTCTTCAATTTGGTAGCTTCTAGCCACACGTATCTATTAAACACTTGAAATGTGGCGAGCCCAAATTGGGAAGTATTTTAAGCATAAATACACACTCGATTTCAAAGACTTAGTATGAAAAATTATGCAAAATATATTCAAAATATTCTTCAAATTAATTACATGTTGAAGTAAAAACATCTTGGTTGTAATGTATTAAATAAAATGTACTAGTAAAATTAATTTAGTATACTATACTAGATACTTTGATGGCTACTTTTCATTATTAAATTGGTTTATATGTGTATTGACTCTACATATACTTTTCTTATGTACATTTTGGTTGGTTTCAAAAGTCTTAAATTCATAAAGAACAGAGAAAATGACTTCTATTTAATTTTTAACAATTCATCCTCTGACTTGAAATGTTTCAGCCAGGCTGGTTCATAGTTCTGTGATAAACTGATTTATGACTACCAGTAGCTTCTTCCTTGGTAATGGTAATGTCAGAATTATATTTGGGTAATCTGGAATTTCTAAACAACCATCTATAATTAATTATAACAATGCCATTTTCCTTAGCAAAATTTGTTTATAAATGGGAAGTGATGCAACACCATTAAAACACATTTTTTTGAGAGAGAGTTTGATGAGAGGATTCTGGGAAATATTTTCTGTGATAAAAAATAGACTACAGGGAAAGAAAGGAGATAATCTGCCTTCATTGATTGGACACCTTGCTTGGATATGAAGTCTGACAAACCTTCAGTATCACAATGAGGCTAACTAAGCTGACACACTAAGGATGAACGGAACCTGAGTTCCTAATGTCATTAGTTATTTAACAATTTTGGCAGCTACCTCACATCTGGACTTATTGTGGTATGAGATAATACATTTATTTATTTAAAAAATTGTACATGTGTTCATTTTTTAGAAAATATGCATTCCAAGAATGTTGTAAATGGTATAACTAACCTCTTCAAAGATGGAACAATTGTACACCAATGAGAATATCATTATGTGCTCTCAGGATCATCTTTGACAGAGGAAATACAAAAGGTCCTTTGTTACTTGCAAATTGAATAATAAAGATAAGAGGCCTACTTGTACAGAATAACACCTCATAGAGTCAATGACCTGTCAATGCCTTAAGCTATATTCACAAAACAGACAGAAAACAGATATAACCTCTAAGAACAAAAAATATAGGTAGGCAAGTGCTATCATTTGATATTCTTGGTACTTTATTTGCTGTTTTATTTCCAATCTAGGAATTTGTAGTAGCAGGTTTTATAATTATATTAATAATGCCAAACAGCTGTTCTCTAGCAGCCCAAATCAAATTCATAATCAGAGTAATAGAAATATCATAATTTAAGAAATGTTCAAAACAAATAATTTTTGGAAAAGACTGTTTTGAGCATCAGTACCTAGTCTTTTGTGAGAAATTTAACACTCAGAATAGCCATGGCACTCACGTGTTCCATAACTTTTCTTAATATATTAGATGACCTTAATTTCTGCCTATATAGTCAAATTAGAAAACCAAAAAGGCAAAATAGGCTCATATTTAACTATGACTTACTAAAAGATATGTCTTTTAAGTAAAAAAGATATTTTCTTTATTCTTTACAAATCCATACATGGTTGTGTATTTCCAAAATGAAGATGAACATTGAGTAGCAATATATGGTGATTTTCCCCAATCCAAAATTGACAGGGTATGTCTTTACTGGAAGATGTTATTAAAAAAATAAGAAACCTGTAATAACATCTCATTCAGAGATATTTTTATTCTCATAGGCTTACTAATTCGATATTTTATAGTTTTATCCTAAATTCACTGCAAATCTTGACAATTTATAGATACGATTACATCTAAGATTATGCCTTTGTACGTTTCATTGAATATGTGTTTCTGGTAATTATATACTTGCATTTTTATTGTATGTTCTTGTCATTCAATTTGAAACTTTTTTCCTTTATGTAGATGTGCTTTTTATATCTATGCTTTTAGTCTACCTAAATATTTACATGAATAAAATAGATATCCAAAGACTTCAGGTAAATACATATTTTTACATAATAAATATATATATAGTAATACATAAATAATATATACTATATATAATATGTAAATACATATATACATAAAGTAAATATATATATATATAAAGTAAATACATACCCTAAACTATAATACAGAATCACATAATCCTTGGATTGAAAGAAATGAAGGTAATATTTACTCAAAATTCCTTTTGTAATGAGAAAATTGTCACAGAGAAGACCATATAACTCCTGATATGCTCTGCTTGAATATTTCTCAAAAAAAGTGACCTAAGTTTAACTATTTTTCTGTTTTAGGTTTCCTAGACTATCACAGCTTCAAATATCATGCCCTAAATTTAAGAATTCTGGGTCTAAATGTGAACAAATTGCCTCAAGTCTATCCAATCAAACCTCTTTGGAACTCATAACATAATCATCCATCTATCTGCTTCACATAGATTAATGTCATAACATTTATCTTCTTGACCTGCACTTTCCTCTCTCCCTCATAGCCAGACCTCCTGGTATGCTGAGGCTAGGTCATTGATGTTTTATTCATCAGCATAATTCCTGAGCCAGCCTTTCCTGTTCACCTCAGCAAAGGTGAATAGATAGGTAGTAATAAGGATAGATACTGAATCTACCTGTGATTGTAATTAATAAGTGATGAAACAAAAATGAAATAATTTTTACTCCCAACAGATGTGGGTTGTTAACCTAAGAAAAATTTGTACTACAAATGGCAACGGGCAATGATGTACAATTGGAAGCCCTCAGTATTCTTAGGTGCAGGGGGTTGTGGTGAGGGAGCTTTGATTCCAGGACACCCCTCAAATACCAAAATTCATGGATGTTCAAGCCCCTTA
Organism: Homo sapiens; assembly: GCF_000001405.40. NCBI lineage: Eukaryota > Metazoa > Chordata > Mammalia > Primates > Hominidae > Homo > Homo sapiens. Next base: position 73,728,028 of record NC_000012.12, on the reverse strand, counting down.
TATAAAATGAGGTAGTACTTTGCATGTAACCCATGCACATCCTCCTGTATACTTTTTCATCTCTAGATTACTTATAACACCTAATAAAATGTAAATGCTATACAAATAATGTTATACTTTATTGTTTAAAGAATAATGACAAGGTAAGAAAAATCTGTAAATGTTTAGTACAGACACAAACATCCTTGTTTTATGTGTGAATAGTTTATATCCCATTGGTTAAATCCAAGAATGCAGAGCCCATAAATATGGAAGACCAACTGAAAGGCTTTTCACTAATCAGCTTATCTCTCTTCTATTTAAAAGTTGAATAATATGTTCCATTTCATAGGTTTTGATGCCTGTCTTCCAACTCTAAATCATTCTCAATCTGTGATTAGATTTTTTCTTTGGCAAAAAATGTTTCTTTAACATGTTATTAATGAAAATAATATTTTACCCTCACAAAGTTAGCTTACAACACGTACAATACACATACTCAAAAAGCTTGAAATAAACAGTAAGTCCACACTTAACATTTTCTGTAGGCTCTTGGAAACTGTGATGTTAAGCAAAATGACATGTGAGACTAATTTTATCAGAGCGTGATTGATGTAGACAAGAGTTAAGTTTATGACGCATATTTCTGGTCAAAAAAAGTTACAAAGCTTCTAAAGAAAGACCAAAACACTGTGTTTAAATTTTTTTAAATATTCCCCTTTAAAGTCATAAAACACTATTAATATTAAACATTGAAATAAATTTTAACTATGCAGATATTTAAGAAAAAATAATTAAAAAGTAAGATAAGTATTTACCCAGTTATTCCAGTTCAAGGCTATGCGTAGGTGGCTGGAGCCTATTCCAGAAACAGGACACAAGGCAGGAAGCTACCATGGAAAGGATACCATTCCATTGCAGCACACACTCACATACACCCATATTCACTCAGACTGAACTGTTTAGACATGTTAATTCACCTAACGTGCACAGCTTTGGAGTATGGGAGGAAACCTGAGTACCTGGAGAAAACCCTCGCAGACATGGGGAGAATATGCAAAATCCACATAACCAGTGTTCCTGGCTAAAAATCGAGGGACGTTTTTTCCCTATTAAAGTTATAACAAAACAACGTTGAACACAATGATATCATTCAAGGACTTTCTGTACAGTAGTTGAGAAAGAAGGAATCTTCTTTGTTGCTCTGCTTTCATCAGAATTGCTTGCTTGGATTACCACACGGATTTAGGAAATCAGGCATAAATCAACAATCACAACTCTCCAGGCATTTGCTGTAGACACACTGCAGAGGGACCTTCAGCCTGAAGGCATGTTATAAAACATAAAGCAGGGTCTAAAACTGATCTCATTTCATCTATTCTACAACTTCTAGTCAGCTCTTTATATTATAAAGTTAAGTTTCTAATAACTCAAATTTTATCCTGTCATCTTTTGTGTTTAAGACATTTTACTTCTTACACTAATTTCATAATAAAACCCAAAATCTATATAATTACTTCTAAGGGTTTTTCTAATCTGACCCCTATTAATAATTCTAGCATCATTTTTCAATAATTGCCCTTCCTGAACTTTGTACCTCTGCCAGATTCAATGACTGTTAGTCTTCTGACACCCCATGGCCTCTCACTCGGGATTTTTGTGTATGACATTTACATCAGTTTTCTAATCCTAGTTCTTCATGGCTTAGCCCTATTTATTTTTCCAGATTCAAGTGTGACATTAATTCTCACAAATCCTTTCCTGAAACTGTATGTCCAGAATATTTATGCTCAAAGAAACCCCTGCTACCAATATGCATGCATTGTAATTGTGTTGATGAGAAGTGTTCATAAAATAGCTATTTATTAATTTTTATGTTTTTAAGAAGGTATAATGGCATTTAAACACTTTTAGAATATTACAATTTCTACTAATGGAGTTATCTTAGAATTTCTTAAATCATAGCTTTTAGTTATGCATATGTTAGACATGTAGACTAGACTGATAAGCATTCGAGTAAGGTTTGTGTTAGATTCCATTCTGATTAGGTAAATGCCTGTCCCAAGAGAGTTGTTACAAATTGTGAGTATCACACTTGAGAGCATCCACGATTCTGTAGAAAGGGTGTAATGGGATATTCATTGCATAATATAAACATGCCCTTTCCTTTTCCTCATTTTAGAGAACTTTATGATTACTGGGATGGGATAGTCCAATCTGCATAAAGTTTAGGGAATCCCCTGGGTAGAAATGTTTCAAGGCTTCTACCTTTCATCTTTTGGGATCCAGTTTTACTAGAACACTTCTGGTGGATTGAAATGACCTGGAGAAGTAAACATGACAAAAACCACCTTAAAAGAGGAAGAAGTCTGGAATGGTGTCATAAAAGACTGCTAAGACTAGCCACTCTGACACTATATGCCATGAAGAACATGACTGAGCGTGTCAACATGCAAAAGCTAGAGAGTTGTGTGACTAAATTAAGATACCATGGAAGCTCAGGTCAATTTGGTCAAAGCGCAAACAGCAGCCAACGGCTCTTACAGAATCCTTCAAACGTAAATTCCCACGTATGAATATTTAATATTTTGTTTAAGTGAAATGAGAGGAATCAGAATTGACTCTTTACACATGCCAGATAGAAATAATCAGTCAGATATGAAGGATTACTTAGGTTTTCAGTCTCTGCTTTGAGTGATAGCAACATCAGCTGCATTCCTCTTTTTTGGTTCAAGGGAATAATCTCAGCTTTGGTTCCAGCAACATGGTAGAACAAACTAGCTGGTGTGTATCGGCCCCTAATTTCTAGCCTTTCCTATTGGGAAAATAAGACTCATGTCTTTACCCCACCTTAACAGAAGCCTGAAATGGATTGTTTAATAAATAATTTAAAAATATATGTTCTGGTTACTTTTCTCTGCCACAGGCAACCAGGGACCACCTTTGTTTTATTAGTTTTTACATCTTTGGTACCCAGACAGAGTCTAGCCCAGAGCAGACACTGACTATGTATCTGTGGAAATAATAAAAGAATAAAACAACATATATTCTAGAATCTAAAATGGCCTTGAATTGTTTTAAGATGACTATAATTAAATTGTAACTTTGATAAAAACAAAAATTCATTACTACCACATAAAATACATTTATAAATTATAAAATTATACTCATTTTAGAAAAATGAAAAATATGTATATTGATAATTAAGAAAATGTGCTATCTGGCTAAAATAAAAATTCCAAATATGTAGAATAAATGGAACTAAAATGCAAATCTTATAACTTTAGTTCCAGATCTGAAAATATCACTCAGTTATAAATTTTGTAAATGTTGAAAATTCCATTTGCATCATTTTATTTTGATTTATAAACCAGAAAAACAAAAGTGAGGCTCTGGGGCCTATTTTGTGAAGCTTGTATACTGATCTAGATAGATAGAAGTGTAACTATAGTCTTTTTTGGTTAAGTAGTTTCTGAATTCCCCTAATGTTTTGTTGAACAGACAGATTCATTATTACAAAGATTTTAACTTAAATATGAAAACTAGCTGGATGTGGTGGCATGCGCCTGTAGTCCCAGCAGTTTGGGAGGCTGATGGGGGAGGATCACTAGGTCAGGAGATCGAGACCATCCTGGCTAACATGGTGAAACCCCATCTCTACTAAAAATACAAAAAATTTGCCGGGCGTGGTGGCATGCACTTGTAGTTCTAGCTACTCTGGAGGCTGAGGCAGGAGAATGGCGTGAACCCCGGAGGCAGAGGCTGCAGTGAGCTGAGATCACCAGCGTGGGAAACAGAGTGAGACTCCATCTCAAAAAAAAAAAAAAAAAATTTAAATATTTAAAAATTATACTCAAATCCAGAGATATATAAACTTAGTAAAGACAATTAGTAATTATGTCAGGAATGTTGTTCAAAATATTTCCAATACTCTTCTGAGCAAAAATATAATTAATTTGTGTTCCAATATATTAAAACTTCCATTTATGCTTTTTGACTATGGTGTCATTCTTAAAATGGACTTTCTACTATAACATTCTGTAAATATTTACCAAAAGATGATTTCCCTAATATGTATTTTTACTTTGTGAATAACAAATACTCAAATCATCTATGTCTCATTTTGGTATATATTGAAAGGTACAGATATTATTTTTATTTTACCTAATGCTGATGAAGCTATTTATAAACTAAAGAATTCCTTCTATATTTAGTATATTGTGTTCATGCTATTCTACATATTTACCAATATCCATATAAGTTGTCTGTACTTTTTCTTGGTTAAAGTCCTTTTTTCTCACAAAGACCATGTTTTTTAAATTATTGTAACTTTGTCATACATTATAGTATTATAGGGCAGAGTCCATTATTGACCATGGTTTACAAATAAATCTACAAAGTAATGCAACTGCAATTTATCAGTGTGATTTATACCTGGGAATTAGAATTTATAACATATATTCTGAAAGTCACTTGACAATTTTTTTAAAGAAGAGTTATTTAAGAGCTAGCTAATGCAACCATTCTTAATTGGTACAAAAACTTGTATTGATTGCTCACTGCCCTAATATTTTCATTTTGTACATTACAACTTCCATGTTAAGTAGTCTGTGGATGAACACTGAGGCCTCTGACCCATCATCTAAATCTGTTCTTTCCAAAGATAAATTACTACCTTCGAACATGCCCTGGCAAACTGGCCTACACCTGCCCTCGCTGCTAAATTCTAATTTTACAAACCTTTCAGGACTTTGAGCTTTTCTGTTTGAGTAGTCAACTGATATATTTAAGTTTTACCTTGGTATGTCTTCAAATTTTTATTCCCATTCCAAATGTATAGATCTTTAAATTTTGCTCAGCAAATGATAGAAACTGGTATTAATTCAAATATTTATCTCATCACAAAGCCCACATGCATCGCATTATATTGGACTGTTTTAACCTGAAGGCAGAATTCAGATTTTACAGCTAACTGCAGTTCCTGGCCAGTCACATAAAATTTACTCAATAAATGCTTTGCCCAAATCTGATTTGATTCTCTGTTTCATATTTAAATTTGCATATTAATAAACACAAGCTAGGTTTTAAATATTGTTGCAAATGTTTTAATTTCTTTTGTTTTTTCTTTAGGATCTCTCAAAACCTAGGTATTGCCTGAAATCAGTATATGGTGACTTAGTACAACACATCCATATTCTCTCTCACTCTCTCTCACTCACCCACATTTCCATTACATCTCAGTTTTTATAAATCCTGATATTGAGAATCTATGTAGCCACAGATAAACCAGTATAGTTACACCCATTACTGAGGCCACACTCGACAGAATGAGGTTCATCAAATAGCATATTCATTAAAAGATAAGCATCATCTATTACCATGCTAGTCATTCCAGGGGAAACACAGTTAATAATGGTTCCTGTACTCAAATTATTTAAAATGTAGTTAGACTAAGAGAATACATACTGTATATTACTACAATTATACCTATTGGAAAATGACGGGGCTGGCTGGGCTGTTGATATAGTAAGGCCATTGGTCTAAATCCTATCTCTTGAGGGACAGGGAAAATGTGCTATGTTGTTAGAGGTTGTCATAGGGACAAGAAAGGGGACATATTGAAGAGAGAAACAGAGATGCTATATAACTGTTGGTGTATAGTACAGTTCTGGACAGCAAAATATTGACTGACCCAAAATGCCAATATACTCCCAGGGAGAAATAATATAGTCTAGACTACATTTTAAACAATTTATTTATAGTAATTTTTGCCATTTAGAATATGTATATGAATGACATATAACCTACTAAGGTATTTTTCCTTCAAAGTAAAACTTATGAAAATTGGCTTGAGAAATTTTATTTCAGGGAAAAAAGTTATACAAAAGAAGTATCCTTTATATATCTCAAAATAAAAGAGACAACAAAGACTAATAGGTTGTTACTGCTCTTCCGAGAAGGACAAAAGAGAACAAGATGGGGAAAATATCATCCCTATCAAATTTTTAAAATTGTCTTCATTGAATTTCACTTGCCTTTTTATACATTCTAATTGAGTCCTCGCATCACCTTTGGGTACCTCTGGAGTGTATACATCAGTGTCTTTACTTCAAGTAGAAAACCAGGTAAGCATCTAATGAAATTAAGCCTGGTTTTTCAGACTCGGGCTACTGCCTCAGTTTGGATTGTGTGATGCATGGTATGATCATTGTTTTTGGTGGTGAAGAGTTGAACTTATCTGACACTTAAAGTATAACATATCATTATTCCTGACTTGCTGCTGCAAATGGACGTATAGATAGCACTCAGGTTCATAGAAATGGCTAGATATGTAAAAGAAACTATGCAAGCTACCTAAATGAATAAATCTAGGCCTTCATTTTAAATATAACTGAGCAACAATTACCAGATTTTTAGAAAAATCAGTAGGAAAAGAAAAAAGTCTTTACCTAGAAAGAATAAGTCAACTCTAAAAGAAGCATAGGTAATTCTGAAAAAGGTTTATAACTTAAAAAATAAAAAAAAGAAGCAAACAAAAAATTTTAATTAGTAAATTTAGGGATATATGAAGAGATAACATATGTACCCAACTTTGACAAACATTTATGAGGAAAGAACAATTAGTAGAAGAATAAAACATTCATGAAAATTAAAAATATAATTGTTCTTATGAGAAAAACATATGGAGGCTATCTCAGAAAATTAAGAGCAAAATATAAGCAAATATGTAAGAGATGTATCAGTTTCCAATCAGAGGAGATACAAAAGACTAGTAGACATTCTAGAATAAGACAACAAACAAACAAGGCAGAAAGATATAATCAATGAACTAGTAGGAGACATTTTCTCAAAGTTGAAGTAAGCCTTGAATTTGTCTTTACCTTTGGTTTTTGAAAAAAATAACTTTCGGCTAGGCATGGTGAGTCATGCCTGTAATCCCAGCACTTTGGGATGCCGAGGTGGGTAGATTGCTTGAGACCAGGAGTTCGAGACCAGCTTGGACAACATGGTGAAACCCTGTCTCTACAAAAAATACAAAAGTTAACCAGGCATGATGGCATGTGCCTGTAGTCCCAGCTACCTGGGAGACTGAGGTGGGAGGATCACCTGAGCCCAGGAGCTGAAGGCTGTGGTAAGCCATGAGCGTGCCATTGCACTCCAGCTTAAGGAACAGAGTGAGATCCTGTCTCAAAAAAAAAAAAAAAAAAAATTCAAGTAAGCCACAGCAAAATAAAAAATGTATCAGTAATCTAAGAAGAAATCTACAAAGAATTTAATAGGATTAACGAAAATACTATTCATCTATTAAGCTAAAATGAAAATAAATGTGAGGCCTAGAAGTGAGAACATATAAAATTCCATAAGTTGTATAACCCAAAACTGAAAAGTTTTAGTGATATGGTAACTATGGCATATGTTTTATCTGTCAAAATAAAATAATTTTTTAAAAAAAATGAAAAATAATGAATTATTCAAATATGAAGTCAATTAAAACAGATAATTTTTGCATTTTAAGCAAGCCCTTATTCTTTGATGGGTACCTGTAATATGTTAGGTACTCAATACATATTTGGTAGAGTACTTAATTAAGTAATTAATGGAATGGAAAGAACAACAATTCATTTGACTTTGGTGCCAGTAATGTATGGATTAAAAGTGAAGTATAAAGACAATGGAACATATTTTACAGAGGAAGCCTTTATTATTGTATAGATGGAACTACTCTAGTATTCATTGGTTTTGCAGTGATCATATTTGCATTATTAAAATACTGTAGATGATGTGTATTCTTAGGCTTTTAGTTTTTATACAGTAATCCATAGACAAAACATAAAGCATTTTAATATAATTGTAGAGTTGATTGTAAATGTTTTCAATCTCTTGATTATGTAAATATAAAGGTATGGAGATTGAAAATAGTATTAGTGAACCCATAGTTGCTCTTTACCTTAATGTAAACTTAGTGTATACTAGCCTAATGTTCAGAAGTAGAGAGACAGTAGAGGAGGAAGAATGTAAAAAGATGATAGTTTCCTTTCTCATGTATTGGAGTGTCAAACAATACAGTATATAGTAAATAGGTCATGAAATAAAGGCATCCACATATTATAAGATGTACAAAGTTATGTTAAGTTTTCTATTGCTGCCATAACAAATGAACACAAATTTAGGAGCTTAAAGCAACACAAATTTGTTAATTTATGGTTCTGTAGGGCAGAAGTCCATTACAGGTTTCACGGGCCTAACATCAGGGTTGGCAGGGTTACATTCCCTTCTGGAGCCTCGAGGGAAGAATTGATTTTCTTGCTCATGCAGATTGATGGCAGAACTCTGTTCCTTACTGTTGTTTGATGGAGGTCACTATTTTCTTGGTGTCAAGTTCTAAAAGCTGCTGCATGCCTTGGTCTTGAGTTCCTTTCATTTTCAAACCCAGTAATGGTGGGTTGAGTTCCTCTCATGCTTCAAATTTCCCTTACCTCTTGTTCAGTTTCATGTTTCTGACTGAAGTTTTCTGCCTTTTCAAAAGCTATGTGATCACATTAGAGCCTCCCAGGTTATCCAGGAAAATTATTTTATTTTATTTCATTTCATTTCATTTCAATTTAATTTAATTTAATTTAATTTAATTTTTATTTTATTTTATTTTACTTTATTTTATTTTACTTTTGAGGCAAAGTCTATCACCCTGTCGTCCAGGTTGGAGTGCAGTAGCGCGAACTCAGCTCACTGCAACCTCCGCCTCCCAGGATCAAGGGATTCTCCTGCCCCAGTCTTCCCAGTAGCTAATACCACAGGCACACTACTACACCCAGCGAATTTTTATATTTTTTAGTAGAGACAGTGTTTGGCCATGTTGGCCAGGCTGGTCTCAAACTCCTGACTTCAGGTGATCTGCCTGCCTTGGCCTCCCAAACTGCTGGGATTATGGGGATGAACCAGCATGCCCAGCAAGTCCAAAATCTTAATTCTATCTGTAAAGTCTTCCTTATCATGTATTTTAACATATAGAGGCAAAATACCACGGGTTAATACAAGAACATATTTGGTGGTCACACATGAGACTTCAGTTCAGGAAAGAGTAACATAATTAAGCAGATGCTACAAATAATTGATATTTTTAAATTAGGAAATTGGCATAGGTATCTACCTTGTTAGAGGAAGCATTAATGATGGTTCCAACATGAGTGCCTAGCATCCAGTGTAAATGCCAAACCATAGCACCCAGGTGTGTTTCGCTAGAATAGTACAGGTTTCTGGCATCAGCATAGTCCCTCTGAATAGCATAGCCAATTACTCAACCACTGCTATGTAGATTTGTCTTAACAAACAGATCCCTAGATCTAATTTATCACTATCTCATGGATTTTTGGGTTTGTTGGGGTATGTCTACTTTGGGAAGGGTGGTCAATCTTAAATCTTAAGTCTCAACATATTTCTCCTTTAAATATCCGGAGTCAAGAAACAGTAGTAGTCTGGGCATGCTCTTCTCATAATTATTGGCAGAAATGCAAACAGGCTGACAGAAACGTGCCTTGCCTCTTAAATCCCTTAGGAGCTTCTTCTGCTCCTATACTATTGGGCATGTATGGTTGTCACATAACATTCTTTAATAAAACTCTTTTCTGTGAGTTTGTGGATTTGTTTTGTTTTTTGTTTATTTTCATTTTTGTTTGTTTTAACTGAGAACCTTAAAACGATACAGAGAACACCACCTTTTGTGGCTGAAAGGATTTTCACTGGATGATTTTGGAAAAAAACTATAGATGTTTCTTATTGACTATTCCACTGGAACAAAAGTAAAACATGGAAGACACTGCTCAGACACTAAGAAAGAGGCAGCCCAAAGCTATGGATTTTAAACTATGATCTTAGCATCTCCTGTCTCAGAATATAATGTGCTATTTATTTTTAGAAAAGTCCACCCCTTTGCTCTACTAGATATCTACTCAGTAAGAATATAGGGTTACTATGTGTGAGAATCTGATTGTAAATTAATTTCCTGCTGATGATTCTCATGTACCTTTTAAGCCATCTTACTATTCCACAACTAATATGTATTTGATTCAATTACAGTCATTACTTTCTCTTCATAAAGGCAATTGGTTTCTGATTTTCTAATGAAAACTCTGTTAAACCTAAGCTATACTTCCTTCTTCAGTCATAGTAAATGGTACTGTTTTCTATCATTTTAAAGCTTTAAAGGTATATTTATATATTTGATCTCACTTTTTCTCTTCTCACAGCACACTCCTCTGTATTCAGCAGAAAAAATAATAGTGAATGTAAATCTTCCCGCTCTTAATATCTTGAGACTAGATATTAAGGCTCAAGCACTTTATAAAAGATGGTAATTCCTAAAGTGTGCTTCAAAACACAGCAATGAATGCTCAATTTTAAAATTATCTTATAATTTTTGCTTTGACAATTGTTATTGTCATAGAGGTTACACACATTTAATTTATTTCAGCTTGCAGAATGTGATATATAATGGAAAAATGATTCCCTCTTTTTTAAGATTATCTTCAAAACACTGAGATGGTGTAGCGGTTAGGAACGCAGTCAAGGATGAAAGACCTAGCTACTTCACTTGCTAGCTGTATTGTCAGGAGGATTTTATTGATTTTTTAAGGTTTATTTTTCTTAATCAAATGAGGTTGAAATAACTGCTATATAATCATTAAAAAATTACATGAGATCGCCATGTAAAGCTTTTAGCATGTATCCCAACCCATCAATTATTATTCCTATCACTCCAGTATTTTTGTTGTTGTTGTTAATGGTATAATATAGCCAATTAACCTAAAGCAAATTTTGAAATTAAAAAAATAGTGAAAATCTAAGTATCTGAATTCAGGCTTGTGCTTCAGTCTAGATTTCAAAGGTAGTGCAGCATATCGATTAATACTGTGGATCCTAGAGTCATGTTCAATTCATGATTTTTTCAATTACGAGATGGCTGAGTGGGAGGTTACTTCATCTCTCCACACCTCAGTTTCTGCATCAGTAAAACTAGGGTGATAATAATAGAAATTAATTGATAAAGTTGTCAGATTTCAACAAATTAATCCGTATAAAATGCTTAAGAACACATTTGAATTCGGTTGACATTCATGTAAAGGTAGCTCTTATTATAGATATTTTTGTACAAAAGTAAACTACTTTAGTGTGATGTCAAAATTTGGCATTAGATATAATGCTGTAGTTTTGCTCTTCAGGCATGGGAAATATGAGAAAGTAGATTGAAGTGTAACAAAGAAATGCTTATTAAATGTCTTTGGACACAAGTGAATTTCTTCAACACTGTTAAATATAACAAAAACATTTTAAACACCCTATTATGTTTATGATTCATGAACCATGGAAGAGCAATGATAATATGACTACACTTTTTCTTTGCATTTGCACAGACCTTTAAATTTAGAAGTTTACTCATATACAGAATTGTATTTATTACTTACAAAAATATGTGAAATATATAACATTAATCTAGTTTACTGATGAGGGAAATAAAGCTCAGAAAGATTAAATAGGCTGGGCATAGTGACTCACACATGTAAATCCCAGCACTTTGGGAGGCCGAGGTGGGTGGATCACTTGAGGTCAGGAGTTCAAGACCAGCCTGGCCAACATGGTGAAACCCTGTCTCAACTGAAAATACAAAAATTAGCCAGGCATGATGGCACATGCCTGTAACCACAGCTACTTTGGAGCCTGGGGCATGAGAATCCATTGAGCCTGGGAAGGGGAGGTTGCAGTGAGCCGAGATCACACCACTGCACTCCAGCTTGGGTGATAGAGCAAGACTCTGTCTCAAAAAAATAAAATAAAATAAAAAGAAAGATTAAATAATTTGATGAAGGTTAAACAAACAGTAAGTAGAAGAGCTTGAATATAAAACCAGATCTTCAGATTCTCAGAATACTTCTCCTTGTAATTTTAACATTAAAGAAAATATTATTTAGGAATAGGTGTCACCTCAGCTTTTATGACAGGAGTAAGATTTTTAAAAGCATCTAAAAATGCTGACTGTATATAAGCCAAACAAAAAATCCATAACTAACAAACAAAGATGTCCCCAAACAAGGCCACACAATGTCTCCAGAAGAAATATGCCATTTCTTCTTCTCCTCCTCCTCCTCCTTCTCCTTCTTCTCCCTCTCTCCTTCTCCTTCTCTTTCTTTTCTTCCTTTTCTTCTTCTTCTTTTTTCCTCTTTTTTTTTTTTTTTTTTTTTTGTAAAGGGGGAAACATTGGCCGGGCTGGGCACAGTGGCTCACGCCTGTAATCCCAGCACTTTGGGAGGCCGAGGCGGGCGGATCATGAGGTCAGGAGATCGAGACCATCCTGGCTAACATGGTGAAACCTTGTCTCTACTAAAAATACAAAACATTAGCCGGGTGTGGTGGCGGGCACCTATTGTCCTAGCTACTCAGGAGGCTGAGGCAGGAGAATGGCGTGAACCTGGGAGGCAGAGCTTGCAGTGAGCCGAGATCGCACCACTGTACTCCAGCCTGGGTGACAGAGCAAGACTCTGTCTCAAAAAAAAAAGGGGGGGGTGGGGAGTCAGGGAAACATTTATGCTCGTACCAGAAAAATTTTCTTTTGCTATAAAAATCATATGGGCCATATGGCCCATTTGGCTATGGCAGAAAGCATCTTATTTATGTAAGCCACTTATTTTATAGATGTACAATGCAAGCTTTGTTCTTTGTGTCATAGGTGACATATTCAACTTGTCATTTTTAAGGAAAATGTATACGTAAATGTGGATATGTCAATGAATGCTCCATGCTCAGATAAAAAACACATCATAGGATTTAAAATAACTCAAAAACAAAGCAACTAGTCACATTTATTGTTGGCTTCACATTTAAAATGAAACTGCTCTCTGAAGTAATCATGTGTCATGTGCATGTGTGTGTGCCTCTCTTCTGAATATATATATTATATATATATATATATATATATTTTTTTTTTTTTTCCTCCAGAGGAGGTCAAACTATAACCAACATATGGTGAAATTAATCAAGCATCTCATTTATTTTGTCTGATTGGATTTTAATGGAGCCGATAATCTAGTTTGACAACTTCCTGAATTATTGTCAGATATATTGAACAATTTTTTCTCATTACGTATGACAGCTAGTTAAGTGCTGTAAATTATGGAGCACTGCAGGACTTGGGTATGTTATAAAAGCCAAGAGACAAGCATTAGAGGAGAGGGAGTAACTCTGTTCTTAAATGACCTCTGTATAATAATTCACAAAGAGCCTTCAAGCAATTCTAGACAGCATCTTTTATTGTAGTTCAAAGAACAACCATTCACTTGAAAAAGAAACAATTGAGGGTCAGGCATGGTGGCTCATGCCTGTAATCCCAACACTTTGGGAGGCCAAAGTCAAGACCAGCCTGAGCAACACAGTGAGGACTTGTCTCTTTATTTTTTTTTTAAAGAAACAATTATGTGTGCATATATATGTATGTATTTATATTTATCTATTTTATAATATATTTTCCCTCAATTTTATTACTCAAATATTTTCCAAATTAAAGATCTAGTTTCTAGCAACCTTACTCAACTATTCCAGTCGCAAATTTATTAATACCATAAATATTTGTTGATTACTGGCCTGGCAAATTGTAGTATTTAATATATGATGGTAGTATATTTTTATGTTTTATTGTTAAAGAGAAAAGTCAACTGATTAAGTATTACCCTAAAGTATTTATAAGCCCAAGTATTTTATTGTGATAATCACATAAATATATTTTTAAAATTGGTTAAAATACACATAATGATTATAATTTGTAATGTGTGTCAATAAAGTAACAAATGCTTATTAAAGGATAATTAGGGACAAAAACAATGTAACACTTTCTTCAATAATATCACTAACCAGAAATAACGGCTATTTTGGTGTTTTTCAAATATTCCGTAACAGTTGTCTTACATGGATAAGATCATGCTTTATATACTTTCATGTATCATTATATTTTAGTTTTTGACTTAATATTGTATTGTAGATTTTTTGTGTCATTAAAAATTTACTCATTACAATGTTGTAAAATTAAGTAATGTTGACTTCCACTCTTATATCTGACATATAGAGAACTTAGAAGTTATCAATTCTGTCCTTACAAAGAGAAAAGTCAGGACGAACTGAAAATCAATTATTTTTCACTAACTTGTCCAAAAACTGAGGTTGCAGGGCGAACTACTGTCTTGAAATTTGTAATGACAGATTTGTCCAGAGAGACACAGCCAGGTGTGCTTACCTGGACCAGGATCCTCTGGAGCTATAAACTGATAGGAACACGTAATGATAATTCGGACTAATTTCTGTAGACTGAAGGTAGGTTATTATGTGAGTGAGAAATTCTTGGTTGCACTCACATTTTTATGCTTACCATCAAGTAACTATGCCTGGTTCTCATAAAGAAGATCCCCAAAATGTCCCCTTTTGATCCTGACAGTGGAAGGGGAGGGTAATTATTTTGAAATAGGCCTGAAGACTTCTTTGTAGCAAAGATAAATGTTCCAGGGACAGATTTGTCAGAACATTAACCTAGGTAGGGGAAGGGCATTCTTTCAACTCTAACCCCATTTTCTTCTAACCTTTCCACCTCACCAAACTGAAGGAAAAACTCATAAGCAACTTTGGTCAGGGCTTCAAGAAAAAGGACTGAGAATGCTGCAGCAGGGAAAAATGGGAAGAGGAAGGTGGTGGGGAAAAGCAAAACCACTGGATAAACACATGTGAATGTAAAATCTGAGACACATGCTCACTAAAACATTGAAATTAGAGGGAAACATGATTAAAAACCCTCCTCTTGCCCTGTACTTCAGTATCACAACAACAGGACTCCACTATATAAAAGCTGATTTTAACTGAAAGAGCTGCAAGACAGACTCTCTCTGGGGAAGATTAGTTAGGGAAGCCCAAAGTCAAGAGGGAAAACAGAAAAAGGCCACGAGAGGAAATGGAAGACTGTGGTAGCCATAGATAAGGCCAATATTAAACTTTGCCTAACATGATATGCTTAGGGTGTTTGTTTATTTTTTGCTTTGTTTTGTTAGTATTTATCTGTTTTTGTGTTCTCTGAGCTTGATGGCTCTGAAACAGTTTGGGGTCTGTCATTAATTTTAAAAATTCTTGCCGAATATTACTGCAAACCCATCATATTTACCTTTTTATCTTTTCTTCTTTTTTCTCATTCTGTATTCTTGTTATACAGAAATTGTCCTACAGTTCTTGGATATATTTGTTTTTTAGTTTTCATTGATTTCAGTTTGGAAAGTTTTATTGACCTGCTCTCAAGCTCAATGACTCATTTCTCAGTCTTGCCAAGTCTACTGATGAGCCCATAAAATAATTCTTAGTTTCTATTAACACTATTTTTGATTTCTTTTTGTTCGTTTGTTTGTTTTGAGACATTGTCTCACTCTGTTGCTCAGGCTAGAGTGTAGTGGTGCAGTCTTGGCTCGTTGCAGCCTCCACCTCCCAGGTTCAAGCAATTCTTCCAACTCAGCCTCCCAAGTAGCTGGGACTACAGGTGCGTGCCACGATGCCCGACTAATTTTTGTATTTTTGTAGAGATGGGGTTTTACCATGTTGGCCAGGCTGGTCTCAAACTCCAGACCTCAAGTGATCAGCCCACCTCAGCCTCCCAAATTGCTGGGATTGCAGGCGTGAGCCACCACGCCTGGCTAAATCTTTTTGATTTCTAGTATTTCCTTTGGATTTTTTTCAATAGTTTCCATTCTTTCTGATTACATTACCCACTTGTTCTTGCATATTGTGTGCTTTTAATTAGAAGCTTTAACATATTAGTCATAGTTATTTAATATTTCCTACTTGATACTTTCAATATACTTACCATATCTCCATCAGGATGTGACACTTGCTTTGTCTTTTCACATTCTGTTCTGTTATCTTCTAGAATGACATAATTTTTTGATAAGAGATGGATATGCTATATTGGGTAATAGGAACTGAAGTGAAAAAGCTTTTCATTTTGAGGATTTATGTTAATACAGTTAGGAGTTAGTCTTGGGTATTTGGTTATAGAAGCACAAATGGACTAAGACAGAAGGGAATATAAACTTGATAAAGAATATCTACAAAATACCTATAGCTTATGTCATACCTAATGATGAGAAACAAGGCACTTTTCTTCTTAGACTGGGAACAGGGCAATGATCTTCTTTCTCAGGACCCTTATTCCAAATCATACCATAAGCTACCAAAATGTCTTTTAATAAGTGAATAGATAAACAAATTGTGCTATATCCATAAATGAAATATTATTTAGTAATATATAAAGAGCTGAGCTACCAACTCATGAAAAGACACAGAGAAACCTAAAGTGTATACTGTTAAGTGAAAAAAGCCAGTCTTAAAAGGGTGCGTAATGTACAATTTTATTTACATAACAATCTGAAAAGGGTAAAACTATAGAGGGAGAGTAAATACAAACAGTAGTTGCCAGGGACAAGGAGAGGGTGGGCACTGAAGAGGTAAAGCACACAGAAATTTTTAGGGTAGTAAAACTGTTCTGTATAATACTCCAATGTGAATACATGACTCAGTATTTGCCAAAAATCATAGAACTTGATAGCACAAAGAGTGACCTTCAATGAAGATAAGTTTTTTTAAATGTGAAAGGGGTCAGAGGTTCCAGGATGGAATGTGAATAGATCAAAATAATTAAATTGAATTCTAACATGGCAAAAGGAATGGTAAATAAACACTGTAGTCTCATTGATAAAGTTATATCTCATGGGGGGACAGGTTAACAAATTTGAAATACACACACACATACACATTCTGATTGAACAGAATTTTAATCAGTGGATGGTGGGGGTCAGGTTTCTCACTGTTGGAGTGGAAATTTAGAGATAAGCGGGGAAGTAGGTTAGAATTATTATGTGGTAATAGATTAGAGTTGGAAACCAGTATCAACTCAACCAGTATACATATATATATAGTAAATATCTATGTATATACATATATATATAGTAAATATATATGTATATACATATATATATAGTAAATATATATGTATATACATATATATAGTAAATATATATGTATATACATATATATATAGTAAATATATATGTATATACATATATATATAGTAAATATATATGTATATACATATATATAGTAAATATATATGTATATACATATATATAGTAAATATATATGTATATACATATATAGTATATATGTATATATAGTATATTTACTATATATAGGTATATATATATACTATATATAGGTATAATAAATATATATGTATATACCTATATATAGTAACTATATAGGTATATACCTATATATAGTAACTATATAGGTATATACCTATATATAGTTACTATATAGGTATATACCTATATATAGTAACTATATAGGTATATACCTATATATAGTAACTATATAGGTATATACCTATATATAGTAACTATATAGGTATATACCTATATATATAGTAACTATATAGGTATATACCTATATATAGTAACTATATAGGTATATACCTATATATAGTAACTATATAGGTATATACCTATATATAGTAACTATATAGGTATATACCTATATATAGTAACTATATAGGTATATACCTATATATAGTAACTATATAGGTATATACCTATATATAGTAAATATATAGGTATATACCTATATATAGTAAATATATAGGTATATACCTATATATAGTAAATATATAGGTATATACATAGTAAATATATGTATATACATATAGTAAATATATATGTATATACATATAGTAAATATATATGTATATACATATAGTAAATATATATGTATATACATATATAGTAAATATATGTATATACATATATAGTAAATATATGTATATACATATATAGAGTAAATATATACGTATATACATATATAGTAAATATATACGTGTACATAGTAAATGTATACGTATATACGTGTACATAGTAAATGTATACGTATATACGTGTACATAGTAAATGTATACGTATATACGTGTACATAGTAAATGTATACGTATATACGTATATGTATATACATGGGCCAGGGTATGCACATACTTTTTCTTGCTCTGTCACTGATACAGGCTAAGAGCAAAGACACCCCAACAGCAACAGGTACAAAAAACTACTTTGCAACAGAAATAACCAGGGCTCCATGAAAAACTGGCTAGTTTTAGGAAAGAAAGAAACAAGATGTACCTGGAGCATCTTTTAGTACCAGAAGATTAAAAACTGCTCAAAAAACAAACGGCCACCTCTACAATGATGAGAGTATGTCAGATGGATACAGGAGCAATGCTGAGCTCCCAATGCCCAAAGCTGGAAAAAATTGAACAACAAATAAAGTAGCACTGAATTATAACATAAGGTATACAATAAATATACATGAATTCATACTATGTAAAAACCATATATGAAAATTGAATAAATAAATGGGAAACAGTAAGTAAATATTCCATGTAGAAACCTTCCAAATAATTTACATAGACACTTCACCATCAAAAGGGTTTAGCATAACTCCCCACTTCTCAAGTGTGAGATGGACATTGTGACTTTTAAAATCTACAGTATGAAAAGGGGGAGAGGGAAGATTAATCTTTCAATGGAGAAACCTAAAAAATACTGCCTCAACCTGTTGATCAAGGCTAATCTCAACAGTTAAAACACATGTTGATTATATGTACCATTGATATGATATGATGAAAATGGCATTTTATCTCTGTTACCTTCCTCCAAAAAAACTGTAATTCCAGTTGAATTACAAGAAAATATCAAAAAAAAAAAAAAATCCCAATTGAGGGAAATATATAATTGGGTTTTCCTGAATGTTTTAGACTTAACATTTCAAAACATTTGATAAGATGACTGTTAGCATATTTTTATAGCAGTCATTTTTTCACTAGTCAGAAGTAATTACATAAAGAGAAAGATAACGGTAGTATGTTAACTTATTTTATCTTTAGGGTACGGAATAAAAGAGAAGTTTCTTTTTAAGTTCTGGGATACATGTGCAGAATGTGCAGGTTTGTTACATAGGTATACATGTGCCATAGTGATTTGCTGCACCTATCAACATGTCATCTACATTAGGTATTTCTCCGAATGCTATCCCTCCCTATGCCCCCCAACAGCCAACAGGCCCTGGTGTGTAATGTTCCCCTCCCTGTGTCCATATGTTTTCATTGTTCAACTCCCAATTACGAGTGAGAACATGCGGTGTTTGGTTTTCTGTTCCTGTGTTAGTTTACTGAGAATGATGGCTTCCAGCTTCATTTATGTCCCTGCAAAGGACATAAACTCATTCTTCTTTATGGCTGCATAGCATTCCATGTCATATATGTACCACATTTTCTTTATCTAGTCTATCATTGATGAACATTTGGGTTGGTTCAAAGTCTTTGCTATTGTAAACAGTGTTGCAATAAACATACATGTGTACGTGTCTTTATAGTAGAATGATTTATAATCCTTTAGATTTATACCCAGTAATGGGATTGCTGGGCCAAATAGTATTTCCGGTTCTAGATCCTTGAGGAATTGCCACACTGTCTTCCACACACAATGGTTGAACTAATTTACATTGTCACCGACAGTGTAAAAATGTTCCTATTTCTCCACATCCTCGCCAGCATCTGTTGTTTCCAGAGATTTAATGATCACCATTCTAACTGGCATGAGATGGTATCTCATTGTGATTTTGATTTGCATTTCTCTTATGAGCAGTGATGATGAGCTTTTTCTCATATGTTTATTGGCCACATAAATGTCTTTTTTTTTTTTTTTTGAGATGGAGTCTCACTTTATTGCCCAGGCTGGAGTGCAGTGGCACGATCTTGGCTCACTGCATGCTCTGCCTCCTGGGTTCATGCCATTCTCCTGCCTCAGCCTCCCAAGTAGCTGGGATTACAGGCACCCGCCACCACATCTGGCTAATTTTTTGTATTTTTAGTGGAGACAGGGTTTCACCATGTTAGCCAGGATGGTCTCAATCTCCTGACCTCGTGATCTGCCTGCCGTGGCCTCCCAAAGTGCTAGGATTACAGGTATGAGCCACTGCACCCAGCCAAATGTCTTCTTTTGAGAAGTGTCTGTTCCTATCTTTTGCCCACTTTTTGAGAGGTTTGTTTGTTTTTTTCTTGTAAATTTGTTTAAGTTCCTTGTAGACTGTGGATGTTAGACCTTTGTCAGATTGGTAGATTGCAATTTTTTTTTCCATTCTGTAGGTTTCCTGTTCACTCTGATGTTAGTTTATTTTGCTGCAGAAGCTCTTTAGTTTGATTAGACCCCAGTTGTCAATTTTGGCTTTTGTTGCAATTCCTTTTGGTGTTGCCCATGCCTACGTGCTGGATAGTATTGCCTAGGTTTTCTTCTAGGGTTTTTATGGTTTTCAGCTTTACATTTAAGTCTTTAATCCATCTTGAGTTAATTTTTGTATAAGGCATAAGGTACAGGTTCAGTTTCAGTTTTCTGCATATGCCTAGCCAGTTTTTCCAGCACCATTTATTAAATAGGGAATCCTTTCCCCATTGCTTGTTTTTGTCAGGTTTGTTGAAGAACAGATGGTTGTAAATGAGAGGTGTTATTTCTGAGGTCTCTGTTCTGTTCCATTGGTCTGTATCTCTGTTTTGGTACCAGTACCGTGCTGTTTTGATTACTGTAGGCTTGTAGTATAGTTTGAAGTCAGGTAGTGTGATGACTCTAGCTTTCTTATTTTTGCTTAGGATTGTCTTGGCTATAGAGGCTCTTTTTTTGGTTCCATATGAAATTTAAAGTATTTTTTTTCTAATTCTGTGAGGAAAGTCAATGGTGGCTTGATGGGAATAGAATTGAATCTATAAATTACTTTGGGTAGTATGGTCATTTTCACAATATTAGTTCTTCCTGTCCATGAGCATGGAATTTTTTCCCATTTGTTTGCATCCTCTCTTATTTCCTTGAGCAGTGGTTTGTAGTTCTCCTTGAAGAGGTCCTTCATAACCCTTGTAAGTTGTATTCCTAGGTATTTTATTCTCTTTTAGCAATTGTGAATGGGAGTTCACTCATGATTTGGCTCTCTACTTGTCTATTGTTTGTGTATAGGAATGCTTGTGATTCTTGCACATTAATTTTGCATCCTGAGACTTTGCTGAAGTTGCTTATCAGCTTAAGGAGTTTTGAGGCTGAGATGATGGGGTTTTCTAAATATACAATCATGTCACCTGCAAACAGAGACAATTTGACTTCCTCTCTTCCTATTACATTTATTTATTTCTCTTGCCTGGTTGCCCTGGCCAGAGCTGAGGCAGGAGAATTTGTTGAACCCAGCAGGCAGAGGTTGCAGTGAGCCAAGGTCGTTCCACTGGACTCCTGCCTGGGCAACAAGAGCAAAACTCCATCTCAAAAAAAAAAAAAGAACTTCCAATACTATGTTGAATAGGAGTGGTGAGAGAGGACATTCTTGATTTGTGCTGGTTTTCAAAGGGAATGCTTCCAGCTTTTGCCCATTCAGTAGGATATAGTGATATTGGCTATGGGTTTGTAATAAATAGCTCTTATTATTTTGAGAGATGCTCTATCAATACCTAGTTTATGGAGAGTTTTTAGTATGAAACGATGTTGAATTTTATCGAAGGCCTTTTCTGCATCTATTGAGATAATCATGTAGTTTTTGTCATTGGTTCTCTTTATGTGAAGGATTATGTTTACTGATTTGCCTATGTTGAAACAGCCTTGTATCCCAGGGATAAAGCTGACTTGATCATGCTGGATAAGCTTTTTCATGTGCTGCTGGATTCGGTTTGCCACTATTTTATTGAGGATTTTCACATCGATGTTCATCAGGGATATTACCCTGAAATTTGTGTGTGTGTGTGTGTGTCTGTCAGGCTTTGGTATCAGGATGATGCTGGCCTCATAAAATGAGTTGGGGAAGAGTCCCTCTTTTTTCTATTGTTTGGAATAGTGTCAGAAAAAAATGTTACCAGTTCCTCTTTGTACCCCTGGTAGAATTCGGCTGTGAATTTGTCTGGTCCTGGGCTTTTTTTGGTTGGTAGGCTATTAATTACTGCCTGAATTTCAGAACTTGTTATTGGTCTATTCAGGGTTTGATTTCTTCCTGATTTAGTCTTGAGAGGGTATATGTGTCCAGGAATTTATCCATTTCTTCTAGATTTACTGGTTTTTGTGTAGAGGTGTTTATAGTATTCTCTTATGGTAATTTGTATTTCTGTGGGATCAGCGGTGATCTCCTACTTTATCATTTTTTATTGTGTCTATTTGATTCTTCTCTCTTTTCTTCTTTATTAGTCTAACTAGAAGTCTATTTTGTAAATCTTTTCAAAAAAGCCAGCTCCTGGATTCATGGGTTTTTTGAAGGGTTTTTCATGTCTCTTTCTCCTTCAGTTCTGCTCTGATCTCAGTTATTTCTTGTCTTCTGCTAGCTTTTGAATTCATTTGCTCTTGCTTCTCTAGTTCTTTTAATTGTGATATTAGGGTGTCAATTTTAGATCTTTTCAGCTTTCTGATGAGGGCATTTATTGCTATAAATTTCCCTCTAAACACTTCTTTAGCTGTGTCCCAGAGATTCTGGTATGTTGTCTATTTGTTCTCCCTGGTTTCAAAGAACTTCTTTATCTCTGCCTCATTTGCATTATTTATCTAGTAGTCATTCAGGAGCAGGTTGTTCAATTTCTATGTAATTGTGTGTTTTTGAGTTTCTTAATCCTGAGTTCTAATTTGATTGCACTGTGGTCTGAAAGCTGGTTTTCATGATTTCCATTGTTTTGCAATACTGAGAAGTGTTTTACTTCCAATTACGTGGTTGATTTTAGAATAAGTGCTATATGGTGCTGAGAAGAATGTATAATCTGTTGGTTTGGAGTGGAGAGTTCTGTAGATGTCTATTAGGTCCATTTGGCCCAGAGCTGACCCTATATCCTTGTTAGGTCCTGAATATCCTTGTTAATTTTCTGTTTCATTGATCTGTCTGATATTGACAGTAGGATGCCAAAGTCTCCCACTGTTATTGTGTGGGAGCCTACATCTCTTTGTAGGTTTCTAAGAACTTGTTTTATGAATCTGGGTGCTCCTGTATTGAGTACATATATATTTGGGATAGTTAGCTCTTCTTGTTGCATTGATCCATTAAACATTCCCTTTCTTGGAAACATAGTAGCTGTTCTAGTCTTCAATTTGACTCTTTTTTTTTTTTTTTTTTTGAGATAGAGTCTTGCTTTGTCACCCAGGCTGGAGTACAGTGGCCTGATCTCGGCTCACTGCAACCTCCATCACCTGGGTTCAAGCATTATGTAATGCCTTTCTTTGTCCTTTTTGATCTTTGTTGGTTTAAAGTTTGTTTCTTCAGAGACCAGAATTGCAACCCCTGCTTTTTTTTTTCCTTTCCATTTGCTTGGTAAATATTTCTCCATCCCTTTATTTTCAGCCTCTATGTGTCTTTGCATGTGAGATGGGTCTCCTGAATACAACACACTGATGGGTCTTGACTCTTTATCCAATTTGCCAGTCTGTGTGTTTTAATTGGGGCATTTAGTCAATTTGTATTTAAGGTTAATATTGTTATATGTGAATTTGATCCTGTCATCTGATGCTAGCTGGTTATTTTGCACATTAGTTGTAGTTTCTTCATAGTGTCATTGTTCTTTATATTTTGGTGTGTTTTTGCAGTGGCTGGTACTGGTTTTTCCTTTCCATATTTAGTGCCTCCTTCAGGAGCTCTTGTAACACAGGCCTGGTAATGAGAAAATCCCTCAGCATTTGCTTGTCTGGAAAGTATTTTATTTCTCCTTCCCTTATGAATCTTAGTTTGGCTGGGTATGCAATTCTGGGTTGAAATTTTTTTTCTTTAGGAATGTTGAATATCGGCCCCCACTCTCTTCTGGCTTGTAGGGTTTCTGCAGAGAGATCCTCTTTTAGGCTGATGGGCTTCCCTTTGTAGGTAACCTGACTTTTCTATCTGGCTGCCTTAACATTTTTTCCTTTGTTTCAACCTTGAAGAATCTGATGATTTTGTGTCTTGGGGTTGTCCTTCTCAAGGAGTATCTTAATGGTGTTCTCTGTATTTCCTGAATTTGAATGTTGCCCTGTATTGCTAGGTTGGGGAAGTTCTCCTAGATAATATCCTGAAGAGTGTTTTCCAACTTGGTACCATTCTCCTCATCACTTTCAGGTACACCAATCCATCATAGGTTTTGTTTTTTCACATAGTCCCATATTTCTTGGAGGCTTTGTTTGTTCCTTTTCATTCTTTTTTCTCTAATTTTGTCTTCATGCCTTATTTCAGTAAGTTGATCTTTAATCTCTGATATCCTTTATTCTGCTTGATCAGTTCAGCTATTGATACTTGTGTATGCTTCACAAAGTTCTCATGCTGTTTTCAGCTCCATCAAGTCATTTATGTTCTTCTCTAAACTAGTTATTCTAGTTAGCAGTTTCTGTAACCTTTTATCAAGATTCTTAGCTTCTTTGCATTGGTTTAGAACGTGCTCCTTTAGCTCAGAGGAGTTTGTTATTACCCACATTCTGAAGCCCTACTTCTGTCAATTTGTCGAACTCATTCTCCATCCAGTTTCTTGCCCTTGCTGGAGAGGAATTGCAATCATATGTAGAAGAGGCCTTCTTTTTTTTTGGAATTTTCAGTGTTTCTGTTCTGGTTTTTCCTCATCTTTGTGTATTTATCTACCTTTGATCTTTGAGGCTGATGACCTTTGGATGGAGTTTTTGTGTGGGGGTCGTTTATGTTGATGTTGATATTGTTGCTTTCTGTTTGTTAGTTTTTCTTCTAACAGTGAAGCTCCCCTTCTGCAGGTCTGCTGCAGTTTGCTGAAGGTCCACTGCAGATCCTGTTCACCTGGGTATCAAAAGTGGAGGCTGCAAAACAGCAAAGATTGCTTCCTGCTCCTTCCTCTGGAAGCTTCGTCCCAGAGGGGTACTGGCCTGATGTCAGTCGGAGCTCTCCTGTATGAGGTGTCTGTCCAACCCTGTTGGGAGATCTCTCCCAGTCAGGAAGCACGGGGGTCAGGGACCCACTTGAGGAAGCAGTTTGTCCCTTAGCAGAGCTGGTGCACTGTGCTGGGAGAATCCCTCTTGCCAGGATCAGCTATTCTCTTCAGAGCCGGCAGGTGAGAACCATTAAATCCCCTGAAGCTGCGCCCATAGCTGCCCCTTCCCCCTGGTGCTCTACCTAGGGAGATGGGGGTTTTCTCTGTGAGCTCCTGACTGGGGCTGTTACCTTTACTTCACAGAATCCCTGCCCAGTGAGGAGGAATCTAGAAAAGCAGTCTGGCCACTGCCACTTTGCCGCGCTGTGGTGAGTTCTGCCCAGTCCAGACCTCCCAGCCTCCTTAGCACTGCCAGGGGAAAAGCACCTACTAAAGCCTTAGTAATGGCGGATGCCCCTACCCCCAGCAAGCTTGATCGTGCCCGTTTGACTTCAGACTGCTGTGCTGGCAGTGAGTATTTCAAGCCAGTGGTTCTTAGCTTTCTGGGCATTGTGGGAATGGGACCCACTGAGCAAGACCACTTGGCTTCCTGGCTTCAGCCCCCTTTCCAGAGGAGTGAAGGATTCCATCTCACTTGGGCTCCAGGCGCCACTGGGGTATGATAAAAACTCCTGCAGTTAGCTTGGTGTCTGCCCAAACAGCCACCCAGTTTTGTACTTGAAACCAAGGGCCCTGGTGGTGTAGACACACGAGGGCGTCTCCTGTTCTGCAGATTGCAAAAACCATGAGAAAAGCATAGTAACCCAGCCGGTTAGCACAGTCCCTCACGGCTTCCGTTGGCTGGGAGAGGGAGGTCCCCCAGGTCCTTGCACTTTTCAGGTGAAGCGACACTCCACCCTGCTTCTGCTCACACTCTGTAGGTTGGACCCAGTGCCTAACCAGTCGCAGTGAGATGAGCTGGGTACCTCAGTTGGAAATGTAAAAATCACCTACCTTCTATGTTGGTCTCGTTGGGAGCTGCAGACAGGAGCTGTTCCTATTCAACCATCTTTCCCCCTCCCTCCTAGAGAAGGTTCTTTAAAGCAACATTTGTCTCATGATTGTTTAATACTTATAAGAAATGTTTTAGAGAAGGTCAATATGAAATTTTCCACACAGCCTGGCTTATCAGGAATTGTCAGAAAAAAAATGGTTTATTCTAGGATGATAATGATGAAAATGTCAAAACTGAAAAAGGACTTTGAGTTGCCATGTAAAAATTATGTTTTGTCAGTTCTGATTGTATGTCCTCATAACAAGAACAAATCCCTAAGGTTTCAAAACACATGTAGACACCATTTCTGTTTTCCAGAAAATTCTCCATAATCCTTGAAAATAACTCATCTTTGATTTTTTGAGGGGAGGATAAATGTCATAAAACAATAGAAACATACATATAAGAAACGTATCAGGCAAAAAGAAAAGTAGAACTTTACACTCAGCAGCAGACAGTAAATGTTTCTACATCATTTTCTGTGCATTATATGCAAATTGTAATTCAGATGATATTCTTTGTATGGATAGCTTTGTATCATATTTTGCAAAATTGATTCATACAGACCAGGTCACACTTGTAAGGATGGAAGGAAGACTTAAGGCCAGAAGTTGGAGATTAGTCTGGACAACATAACAAGTACCTGTCAAACAAAAACAACAACAAAAAAATTAGGCATGGTGGCATTATCCTGTTATCCTAGATATTGGGGAGGCTGAGATGGGAGGATTACTTGAGCCCCAGAGTTTGAGGCTGTAGTGAACTAATCACACCACTGCACTCCAGCCTGGGTGACAGAGTGAGGCCCCACTTCAAAAAAAGTTGGTTCATACAATGCTTTTGTTATATACCTTGCTTTATTCATTTTACCTGCATGATGGTGTTTTCTTATGGTGGACTTCCTGCTATCATGAAAGTTTTTGTCCTGTTCACTTGTATTTGGAAACCTATTGCTCCTTGCCTTTAAAGCACTTAGGTTTGCCTGAACTACAAATATTCATACCACTTTACCTGTCACATGTGTTGTTTTTTAAATTAACATTTAATTGTCTTTTGCCGTACATTAATTCTTAATTTTGAATGCTATAAAATATGTCCTTCCATGGTCCCCATTCCTTAATTTTTATCTCTTTTATATTATTTGGTTTCAGTATAGTATTTTAAATTTCTGTGTTTTGATGACATACTTTTCAATTCAACTTGAAAATATACTATATATTTTATATAGTAGGTCTCCAGAACTTATTTATAACAAAGTTTGTATAATTTGACCAACATCCCCCCTTTTTCCCATCCTCAAGCCCCTGCTAGCCAACATTCTACTTTCTGTTACTACTATGAGTTCAACTTTTTTTTTAAGATTTCACATATAAGTTGGATCATATGGTATTTGTCTTTCTCTCTCTGGTTTATTTCACTTAGCATAATGTCCATATTCAACCATGTTGTTGCAAATGGCAGAATTCCCTTCTTTTTCAGGGCTTCGGATAATGTTTATTATAACTGCCTTTATAATAAATGCTCAAAATTTTCAGTTAATTTTGGGTTTATAAATTTAGATTTTAATATTATGACTATTTTTTCATTGTCATTTCAAACTGCCTGCCTAAATGACATGTATATTTACATAGTGTTTTCTTTCTTTATCATATGATATCATTCCATTATGTATCACAAATTTCTCTCATAAGTAGATTAATAATAATAATGAATTGAATTTCATCTCATGAAATCTGACAAGAGTGATAACATGCTGTTTCTTTAAATTATGTTTGATAGATATAAATATGTTGATTACATGGTAATTAATTATAAAGTATATAACACAAAATACTAAATTAAATAAAATTTAATCAATTTAAATTATTGACTGTAATAAAATTAGTGGTATACTAGCTACTTGAAGAAGGCCCTTTCACATCTAAATTGCTACAAGCTAAACAATAATATATCATAGATTTCAGCAATATAGACAGAAGTGTTAATTTACATAGAGTATATAAATAACTGTAAATATGCATTTCTTTATTAATAAATTATTTCTTTTAAATTTCTGAATTTCTGAATTTATAAGGAAAAAATTTCTTTCTTTTGGATAAATCACCTAACGTTTTGAACAAATAAACATAGGAATTCATTCTCTCCACTCACCACCACCACCACACACACACATATGCACACACACACACACACACACTCACTCCTAGAACTCAGAAAATCTAAGGAACAAATTCACTAAACTTTTAAAAACCTTATTTAATCTATTTATTAAAAAAGTGTCTATACTGAGTCAAAATTAATGATATTGAAAATCTGTATAAACTTTCCATAACCAGTAACAACAGAGAATCCCACTTGGCTTCTGAACCTACTGGCATTCTTAATGAGGCACAGCTAAGCTATCAAATGTGCAGGTTAGGATTATTCTATCTAAATGTGCACCCTAAGAAATGAGCCTCTTTCTAAATGTATTCTCAACCATGCAACTAGTGTTACAATCATCAAATCGTGTTTCCTGTAGGAGAGCACTTATACTTTAGAGTTAAGACTTGATAAACTCTACCCACTTCATCATATTTAACTGGACTGTTTCTGTAACACTGATAAGATCCACTTAGAGTTAGAAGTTAAATTTGTTCTTTGCCCTTTCACAATAAGTATTTGAATGACAAAAGGCAATTTTCAGAAAGTGTGGAAAATTCAAACAAAAAATTTATAGTGAAGTTTTATATGCTCCAGCATTCAATTAAGTGTGGAAATGCTTATAATTCCTGTGGGTACCTACTTCTAGTTTTATTTTCTTATAAAGAGAAAATAGGAGGAATTTTATAACTGAGGAAAGAGGAGAAAATGAACACTAATGGATTTTGTTCTAAATTATTCTATTGATACAAGTGAACAGAATTTGTCAAAACACATTATCTTTCGTGGAAACATAGCAGTTGCTCTAGTCTTCAATTTGACTCTTTTTTTTTTTTTTTTTTTTTTTTTTTGAGTTGGAGTCTTGCTCTGTCACCCAGGCTGGAGTGCAGTGGACTGATCTCGGCTCACTGCCACCTCTGTCACCTAGGTTCAAGTGATTCTTCTGCCTCAGCCTCCCAAAAAGCTGGGACTACAGGCGTGCGCCACCACACCAGGCTAATTTTTGTATTTTTAGTAGAGATGGGGTTTCACCATATTGGCCAGGCTTGTCTCGAGCTCCTGACCTTGTGATCCACCTGCCTAAGCCTCCCAAAGTGCTGGGATTACAGGCAGGAGCCACCGCACCTGACCCAGTTTGGCTATTTTTAATTCTGACAGTAGAACTCCGTTGCAGAGAGGCAAGCTAGACAGAGAGTGTGACCAACTATCTTAAGAAATGAATGATCCAATTGCTGAAGCATCCTAAAATAAGACCTAATAATTTATGGGTACATGTAACTCGACCTCTAATGAATGATATTATAGTTTCCTATTTAGCTATGGTGACCCCATACTGATTCTAAACAGGTAAAATATTCAGCTAGCTTAAAGTTGAAAAATGCATTGCTAGTTTTAAAGGCACAATGTATTCATTAGAGCCTCAAAAAGAAAGAAAAAAAACCCTCAATGTGGTTTGATATGTCTTTCTGATGCCTTACTAGTGTATGGTATGATCAAAATAATAAGCTCATCTCAAACACAATACCCATTTTTTTTGACATAAAAATAAAATATGTGTGTCTATGCATATATTTATTTAAAGAAAAAACGAAGCAAGTTTATAGCATTTTGAATAAATCTTTTAAAATATGATATTATTGGCCGGGCGTGGTGGCTCACGCCTGTAATCCCAGCACTTTGGGAGGCCGAGGCGGGTGGATCATGAGGTCAGGAGATCGAGACCATCCTGGCTAACACAGTGAAACCCCGTCTCTACTAAAAATACAAAAAATTAGCCGGGAGCGGTGGCGGGCTCCTGTAGTCCCAGCTACTTGAGAGGCTGAGGCAGGAGAATGGCGTGAACCCAGGAGGCGGAGCTTGCAGTGAGCCGAGATCGCGCCACTGCACTCCAGCCTGGGCGACAGAGCCAGACGCTGTCTCAAAAAAAAAAAAAAAAAAAAAAAAAAAATGATATTATTATACTGTGCAATAGTAAGATAAAATGGAAGAAAAAATATTGTTAAGCCTACAAAATATAGAACAATTTTTTGTAAATCCTTCTAAACACATGCACACTCATACACACACACAAAGATGTTTTGGAGCGGGGTAGCACAGTTAAAAGAACTGACTGTGGCACAGATTGCTTTGTGTTCAAATCCCATTTCTGCCAATTACTTGCTGTATAACTTCAGTTTCTTCATCAGGAAGTGGGCTGACAACAACAAGTTCATAATTATTTTGTAAAAAATTTGTCTTTTTGGGATGAGTACTCTTTTATCAAGAAAGAAAATCACTATTATTTTCTAACAAGCTTTTTCAGTTATCACCTAATTAATGTCTATATAAATATATACCTGCACTATTTTAATAATGTTCTATCATAAGAGAATATTATACTTCAGTTTGCAAATGCATTTTTGTTTTTTATATTTTTTTCTGATTGATCAGTAATTCATTGTATTTAAGTACGAATTTGGTTAGTTATTGATTATTTGATATTGGTTGAAATCATGTACTCTAATAACTAGCCAAATTTAATCAATGTTTTTTACATGGTTAGAAAGATAAATATATTCTATTTAATACAAGAAAAACTATATTTATGTCAAATTGTTTGTCCCTTGCATTTTTCAAATGTTCTTTATTCTTGAATGCTTAGTTTTCTCTGCCTTCCCTATAAATTTATGAGGAATATATTTTTAAGTAGCCCACATAATATTTTGGAATTTTTTGTCTATTTGCAATTTTGTTAGATGCAGCTTCTTTATACATGTTAATACTAATTCTATTAGGTGTACTGTATAAAAGTTTAGGATTGTTATATTCTCTTGGTGAATCATTTCTTTTTAAAAATAAATATTAACCTTAATTATCCCTAATAATCTTTATGCTTAATGTTTATATTTTTCTGGTCATAATATGAATACATGAGGTTTCTTTTTGCTGGTGTTTGCCATATGTGTGAATATGTTTATATGGGAATATGATATATACACATGTATATATACATATACATGCATGTAGACAAACATATATAATGCCACAATTAATATTGGGAAATATAACACACATACAAAATAACATACTTCATCTCTTTAAAGAACAACAAAAGTATACTATGTGTGTATTCACCCACCAGCCTAAAGACTAAGAAATTACCAATATCTTAGAAATAGCTTGTGTATCCACCTGCTTAATCATATCCTACTTTCTCTTTCTAAAATAATCAATTAATTTTATTATTCATTATAATTCTCTATTTACCTTAAAATGTACTATATATGGATGATCACTTTTTTGAAACTTAGAGAAATGTGTGTATGTGTGTGCATGTGTGTTTGTAACTTTACATGCTACAATAAATACATTAGGAAACTATACTTGTGATTTAGATAAATGTCTAACTTTACATTTGTGCAATCAAAGGTTGTACACAGACTTAGAGAATTTAATTAACATTGCCAACCTCCTCTCAGAAATACTGAACCAATTTTTACTTTAAAACTATTTTCTGTATAGACAGATGAAAGAGTACTTAAAAATTTATCTCAATCATACCTAAACTAGCTGAACCCACTAATTCACATTTATCTCTTCATTTATATAATTCTTCAGTTAGCCTTATTGAGTACTCTAAATATGTATAATGGTATTAGAAATTAAAAATAATTTTAACAGGGGTCACTTGCCATGGTACTTATACAAATTATAAACAAGAAAAATGATATATAATATTTGTCCAGTTCAGTCAGGTAGGTTTCTTTTAAGAGAGGCTACCAATTTTACCAATTTAAATCTTCCTGTAAACTTAATTTCTGGATTCAATGTTAAATAGGAATGGCCTTAGTTGTTCTGGGTTATGCTGTGAAGCCATTAGCAAACCTATTTTATAAATTTAACTGTCCTATAACCCAGTGATAGGTTGATGCATTAGTTTTCTAGGGCTGCCATAACAAAGTACCACAGCCTGGGTAGATTAAACAACAGAAATTTATTTCCTCACAGTTCTGCAGGCTGGAAGTCCAAGATCAAGTTGTCAGCAGGGCTGGTTTCACTCTGTGGCTTCTCTTCTTGGCTTCTGTATGGCAGTCTTCTTCTGGTGTCTTCACATGTCTTCTCTCTGTCTCCAAATTTCCTTTTCTTGTAAGGAGACCAGGCAGATTGGTATATCCTTAGGGTCAGCCCTAAAATACTTCATTTTAACTTAATTATCTCTTTATAGACCTTATCTCCAAATCTGGTTACATTCTGAGGTAATGGGATTTACTCCAAATTTGGTTACATTCAACTTCAACATGTGAATTTTAGGAAGACACATTCAGCCCATGAAAGTTGATACACTTGCAGTGGATAGTTTGGAAGAGCAGTGTAGCATGTTTCTACCTCATTCTACCTCATCATCACCTAGGTTGCTGCAATTTCTGACCTAGAAAAATTGTCCTGTATTCTATGACTGGTATTGATATCATAAGGGATTATGACCTTTTATGTGACAGTTGCTTATTTTTTCTTTCCTTAAAAAATATATATATATATATATATATATATATGCACACACACACACACACACACACACACACACACACACACACATTTGCTTAAAGACCATTAAAAATGACTAAGCCCCAGGAACAACTGGATCTGGGAACACAAAAGATGAAGATATTCTCTGCTTTTATTCTGATTATTTTTAAAGCCCTCCTTTATTTCTATCTTCTCAATAAAAGAGCAGCTATGCTTCTCTAATATCTATAGGAGTAAACATGACCTAATGACTCCAGAGACGTAACTCACAACTTCAAACACTCTCAGCTTTTGCAATTCTGATATCCCAAGGAAAATACATATTTTATAAATCTTGGATTAATCAATATTGATAAGAAATCATGTTTATATAAAAATATGAAACTCCTCAAAGAAATAATATAGATGCACTGAGGATAGGGAAAGCTACCAGGAAGGCCAAACAAAACAAAGTAACTGAGCAGAAAATCTCATATACTCTATATACACTATATTACATAATAACATGTTTTTCTCATTAGTATCTTTATAGAAAGGTAGAGTAAATCATGTCCCCTTCTGACAATGTTATGTAAAAGTGACCGATGCAAACTTATCCCAAGTAGTTTCATCACCCCAAAAAAAAAAAAAAAAAAAAAACCTTTTTATATTATTATCACAAGGCTTTGACAAGAGCTTAGTCAAAGTATTATTTATGATTTCACCATCACTGGGATAATAGGCAAAATTGTTTATGCTGATTGCCATTTGTTGCAGTTAAAATGTTCATTTCTGGAGGATATAGGGGTTTTCTATGTTTCTGTTTCAGTAAACATATTCCAGGTTATTTTTTGTGAGGCCTATTTCAATGACTGTAAATTCTTCTCTTTCTTTTTCTCTTTCTGTCCCTTTTTCTTCTCTCCTTTGTCATCAATAAATGCGCTTGTAAACACGATGCCTGGTCAAAGTTTTATTCAAACTCCCTTTAATAACCGAATGCCAGGCGTTGGCTTCAAATTAATATTATATAATTAATCTTATAACAAGTCAAAAATTCCTATATCATTTTTTCAAAGTATCAACTTATCCATAAATTAATAGTAGTTTTTAAATTCTGAATATCACTCAGACACAAGTTTAGTGAATAAATTAGCATTGCTACATTTTTTAAAAGTAGAGTAAAATTTTTTTTTAAAATAGAAAAATCTTGGGTCATGAAGCTGCCAAGATATCAGATCTTCCATTTTTCCTCTAAATATCCAAACCTCAGTTAAAAATCTTTTCTATTTCATAGCTCCCTATGCAGATTCTTATGACATTTATCATATTACGTATTAATTACCTAGTTACTCTCTTCAACAGTCTTTATGGACATGTCTTTTGAAGGCAATGATTGTATCTCATTCATTGATAAGCACATAGTAGAAAATCAATATATGTTGAATGAATTAATATGTAACTAAATCAATCATGACCTATGTCTAATGACAAATGTATCCTCTGTTAGATTGCATTATTATTTCCAAAGGATGTTCAATTGGCTTCCTCATCCACCTACTCATTTCATAACAGGATTACCAAAACATGACCAATTGCCTTACAATTTCAGTGCATCGTTTGACGGATAAATTGATGTTGTGTTTGGTCCCACAAATCTTGGAGTTGGCCATGAGATATAATTTCGCCAATGGAGTGTGAATGGATACAATGTGCACTATACTTATTCAGAAGTTTTAAGAGGCATTGTAATTTCTGTCGTCTCCTTTTTTTTCTTCTCTGACCCAAAGAGAAGCTGATCCTTCTACCTGTGTTCTAGAATGAGAAGACACTGGAGTGGAACTCAACTTTTGGCAGGCAAAAATTATTTTCTCATGTGAATTCCTGCAGTTTTACAGATTTTTGCTAAAACATCAAAGCTAGTTAATTACACACATTCTTAGATAATCACACTGAGACTCATACTTACACGTGCCTGTTTTCCACTTACAATTTTCACTGAAGAACAATTTTGCCTCTAATTCCTTTTTCTGAGTCATGCAGTAACATTTACACAACATTTATGTATACTAATGTTTTATTGACACCTGGCCCACTTCCATTCTGCAGAAGTTTACTATAATATTTTTCTTTCCTTTTCTTTTTAAAAAGATTTTGTGAGTACATAGTAGGTGTATATATTTATAAGGTACATACAATGTGAAATAAGTGCATCATGTAGAATGGGGTAACTATCCCCTCAAGTATTTATCTTTTGAGTTACAAACAATCCAATTACACTCTTACAAATGTAAATGCAAAATGTATAATTAAGTTACTATTGACTATAGTCACTCTGTTGTCCTATCAAATAGTAGGTATTACTCATTCTTTCTAATTATTATTTTGTAACCACTACCTCCCTCCAACTCCTCCCCACTCCCACCCCCACCCCCAACTACCCTTGTCAGCCACTGG
Source organism: Homo sapiens (assembly GCF_000001405.40). Classification (NCBI taxonomy): domain Eukaryota; kingdom Metazoa; phylum Chordata; class Mammalia; order Primates; family Hominidae; genus Homo; species Homo sapiens. The sequence goes on along the minus strand of NC_000012.12, from coordinate 73,692,965 downwards.
TAATAATTCATGTACTCTCTATGTCCATGAGGTCAATTGTTTTGATTTTCAGATCCCACAAATAAGTGAGAACATGCAATGTCTGTCTCTTTGATCCTGGCTTATTTCACTTAATATAATAATTGCCAGTTCCATCCATGTTATTGCAAATGACTGGATGTCATTCTTTTTTATGGCTTAATGATACTTCCTTATGTATAAGTACCTCATTTTCTTTATCCGTTCATCTGTTGGTAGACACTTAGGTTGCTTCTAAATCTTAGCTATTGTAAACAGTGTGGCAATAAACATAAAAGTACAGATATCTCTTCTATATACTGATTTCCTTTCTTCTGAATACATACCTAGCAGTGGGATTGCTGGATAATATGGTAGCTCAATTTTTAGTTTTTTGACGACCCTCTAAACTGTTCTTCATAATAATTGTACTAATTTACTTCAATTTCCAACTTTCACTTCAAGTTCAGGGGTGGATGTGAAGGATGTGCACATTTGTTACACAAGTAAATGTGCCATAGTGATTTGCTGCACAGATTATCCCATAACCCAGGTATTAAGCCCAGCATCCATTACCTGTTCTTCCAAATCCTCTTCCTCCTCCCATCCCCATCCCATGACAGGCCCCAGTGTGTGTTGTTCCCCAATGTGTGACCATGTGTTCTTATCATTTAGTTCCCACTTATAAGTGAGAACATGCAGTATTTGGTTTTCTGTTCCTGCATTACTTTGCTAAGGATAATGGCCTCCAGCTGCATTCATATCCCTGAAAAGGACATGATCTCCTTTTTTGGCTGCATAGCATTCCTCATGGTGTATATGTACAACATTTTCTTTATCTGATCTATCATCGATGGGCATTTGGGTTGATTCCATGTCTTTGCTATTGTGAATAGTGCTGCAATAAACATAAGTGGCCTTGTGTCTTTACAAATAGAATTTATATTCCTTTGGGTATATACCTACTACTGGGATTGTTGGGTCGAATGGTATTTCTGCCTGTAGATGTTTGAGGAATCACCACTCTGTCTTCCACAATGGTGGAATTAATTTACACTCCCACCAACAGTGTAAAAGCATTCCTTTTTCTTCATAACCTCATTGACATCTGTTGTTTTTTTGACATTTTATTAATAGCCATTCTGACTGGTATGAGATGGTATCTCATTGTGATTTTGATTTGCATTTCTCTGATGATCATGATGTTGAGCTTTTTTTAATGTTTGTTGGCCGCATGTGTGTCTTCTTTTGAGGCATGTCTGTTCATGTCCTTTGCCCACTTTTTAATGGGATTATTTTTTTTTCCTGTAAATTTGTTTAAGCTCCTTATAGATGCTGGATATTAGACCTTTGTCAGATGGATAGATTGCAAAAAATTTCTCTTATTCTGTAGATTGTCTGTTTACTCTGTTGATATTTTCTCTTACTGTGCAGAAGCTCTGTATTTTAAGTAGGTCCCACTTGTCAATCTTTGTTTTAGTTGCAATTGCTTTTGGCATCTTTGTCATGAAATCTTTGCCCATACCTATGTCCTGAATGGTGTCGCCTAGGTGTCTTTCCAGGGTTTTTATAGTTTCGGGTTTTAGATTTAAGTCTTTAACCCATCTTGAGTTGTTTTTTTGTAAGGAAGAGGTCAAGTTTCAATTTTCTGCATATGCCTAGCCAGTTCTCCCAGAACCATTTATTAAATAGAAAGTCCTTTCCCCATTGCTTATTTTTGTCAGGTTTGTCAAAGATCAGATGGTTGCCAGTGTGTGGTCTTATTTCTTGGTTCTCTGTTCTGTTCAACTGGTCTATCTGTCTGTTCTTGTATCAGTACCACAGCATTTATTGTTGCCTGCCTTTTGAACATAAGCCACTTTAACTGAGGTGAGATTATATCTCACTGTAGTTTTGATTTGAATTTCTCTGATGCTCAGTGATGGTGAGCATCTTTTCATATGCCTGTTTGCCATTTATATGTATCTTTTTGATAAATGTCTCTTCAAATCTTTTGCCTATTTTTGATTGGATTATTAAAATTTTTCCTATGGAGTTGTTGGAGCTCCTTGTATATTCTGATTATTAATCTGTCAGATGGGCAGCTTACAAATATTTTCTCCCATTCTGTGGGTTGCCTCTTTACTTTGTTGATTGTCTCCTTTTCTGTGAAGAAGTTTTTAGCTTGATGTGGTATTTGTTCAGTTTTTCTTTGGCTGCCTGTGCTTCTGGGTTATATCTCAAGAAATTTTTGTCTAGACCAATGTCCTGGAGATTTTCCCCAATGTTTTATTGTAGTAGTTTCATATTTTGAGGTCTTATATTTAAGTAGTTAATTCATTTTGATTTGATTTTTGTATGTGGCAAGAAACGAGTGACTAGTTTCATTTTTTGTATATGAATATCTAGTTTTTTCAACACTGTGTATCGAAGAGACTAACTTTTCCCTAGTGCACATTCTTGGCAACTTTGTTGAAAATAAGTTCACTATGGATATATGAATTTAATTCTTGTTTCTCTATTCTATTCCACTGTTTTTTTTTTTGGTCTGTTTTTATGCAGCACTATGTTGTTTTGGTTACTATAGCTCTTTAGTATAATGTGAAATCAGGTATGCGATTCCTCCAGTTTTGTTCTTTTTGCTTAGGATAGTTTTGGCTATTCTGTGTCCTTTGTGGTTTCATATAAAATTTAGATTTTTTTTCCTATTCCTATAAAGAATGTCATTGGTATTTTGATAGAGAGTGCACTGAATCTGTAGATTGCTTTGGATAATATGGCATTTTTAAACAATATTGATTCCTCCAATCCATGAAAATAAAATATTTTTTCAATTTTTTGGTGTCCTGTTAAAGTTTTCATTATAGAGATCTTTCACTTATTTGGTTAAGTTAATTCCTAGGTATTTAATTTTATGTGTGGCTATTGTAAATGAGATTACTTTTTCATTTTTTTTACAGATTGCTCATATAGATTGGCATATAGAAATGCATATTGGCATATAGAAATGCTACTCATTTTTGTATGTTAATTTTGTGTCCTGCAACTTTACTGAATTTATCAGTTTTAATAGTTTTCCTGTGGTGTCTTTAGGTTTTCTCAAATATAAGATCACGTCATCTTCAGACAAAAATAATTTGACTGCTTCCTTTCCAATTTGGATGCCCTTTATATCTTTCTCTTGCCTGATTGTTCTACCTAGAACTTTCAGGACTATATTGAATAACAATAGTGACAGTGGGCATCCTTTTTTTGTTCCAGATCTCAAAGAAAAAGCTTTCAGATTTTTCCATTTGGTATGATACTAGCTATGAGTCTGTCATATATGGCTTTTATTATGTTCAGATATGTTCCTCCTATCATCAGTTTTTGGGGGGTTTTATTATGAAGGGATGTTGAATTTTGTCAAATGCTTTTTCAGCATCAGTTGAAATGATTACATGGATTTTATCCTTCATTCTGTTGACATGATGGATCACTTTAATTGATTTGTATATTTAATCATCCTTGCATAACAGGAATAAATCCCACATGGTCATGATGAATGATCTCTCTGATGTATTGTTGAATTCAGTTTGCTAATATTTTGTTGAGGATTTTTACATCAATATTAATCAGAGATATCTACCTGTATTTTTCTTTTTTTAATGTGTCTTTCTCTGGTTTTGGTATCTGGGTAATACTGGCCTCGTAGAATGAATTGGAAAGTATTCCCTCTTCCTCTATTATTCAGAATAGTTTGAGTAGGGTTGGTGTTAGTTCTTCTCTAAATGTTTGGTAGGATTCAACAGTGAAGCCATCAAGTCTTGGGCTTTTCTTTAGTGGGAGAGTTTTTATTACAAATTTGATCTCATTACTTGCTATTGATCTGTTCAGATTTTGAATTTCTTCCTGGTTCAATCATGGTCAGTCATATGTGTGTAGGAATTTGTCCATTTTTTTGGTAGATTTTTCTTTTTTTTTTTTCTTTATACTTTAAGTTTTAGGGTACATGTGCACAACGTGCAGGTTTGTTACATATGTATACATGTGCCATGTTGGTGTGCTACACCCATTAACTTGTCATTTAACATTAGGTATATCTCCTAATGCTATGTCTCCCCCCTCCTCCCACCCCACAACAGGCCCCGGTGTGTGATGTTCCCCTTCCTGTGTCCATGTGTTCTCATTGTTCAATCCCCACCTATGAGTGAGAACATGCAGTGTTTGGTTTTTTGTCCTTGCGATAGTTTGCTGAGAATGATGGTTTCCAGCTTCATCCATGTCCCTACTTACTGTCATGTAGTTGCTCATAGTAACCATTAATTATCCTTTGCATTTCTGCAGTATCAGTTGTTATTTCCGCTTTTATATTTCTGATTTAATCTATTTGTGTCTTCTCTCTTTTTTCCTTAGTGGTCTTACTATAGCTTTGCCGATTTTGTTTAGCCTTTCAAAATATCAACTTTTTGTTTCATTGATCTTCTGTATTTTTTTTTCATTTGAGTTTCATTTATTTCTGCTCTGATTTTTGTGATTTCTTTTCTTCTACTGATTTTGGGTTTTGTTTGCTCTTGTTTTTCTATTTCTTTAATATGCATCATTAGATTGTTTATTCGAAGTTTTTTTTCTCTTTTTTGACGTAAGCACTTATAGCTAAAAACTTCCCTGAGTACTGCTTTTGCTGTATCCCATAAGTTTGGGTATCTTGTGTTTTCATTATCTTTTGTTTCAAAATTTTTTTCAATTTCTTCTTTAATTTATTCTTTGACCAACTGGTCATTCAGGAGCATATTGTTTAATTTCCATGTATTTTTATTGTTTCCAAAATTTTTCCATTATTAATTTCTAGTTTCATTTATGCTGGTCAGAGATGTTCCTTGATATTATTTAAATTACTTTGAATATTTTAAGACTTGTTTTGGGAACTAACATATGGTCTATTCTTGAGAATGACCAATCCTTGAGAAAACACAAGATACCCAAAAAATGTGTATTCTGAGACATTAATTTTTTTGTAAATATTTATTAGATCTATTTGATCTATAGTGCAGATTAAGTCTGATGTTTCTTCATTGATTTTTCTATCTAGAAAATCTGTCCAATGATGAAAGTGGGATGTTGAAGTCTCTAGTTATTATTGTACTGGGGCCTACCTCTCTCTTTAGCTCTAATAATATTTCCTTTATATATCTGGGTGCTCCAGTGTTGGGTGCATATATATTTAAAATTGTTACATCCCTTGCTGAACTGACACATTTATAATTATACAATGACCAACTTTATCTCTTCTTACAGTTTTTGTCTTGAAATCTACGTTTTTTTGATATAATTATAGCTACTTCTGCTCTCTTTTGTTTTCCATTGACATAGAATATATTTTCCCATCTCTTTATTTTCAGTTTATGTGTGCCTATTCAGGTGAAGTGTGTTTATGTCTTTTGATTGGAGAGTTTAGTCCATGTACATTCAATATTATTATTGATAAGGAATTACTTCTGCCATATTGTTACTTGTTTTCTGGTTGTGTTGTGGTCTTCTCTTCCTTCTTTTTTTCCTTCCTATCTTCCTGTAGCGAAGTTGATTGTCTCTGATGATATGATTTAGGTTTTGGCTTTTTGTTTTTGTGCCTCCATTGCATGATTTTTTGGTTTGAGGTTACTGTGAGGCTTGCAAATACTGTCTTGTAACTAATTGTTTTAACCTGAAAATGACTAAACACTGTTTGCATAAACAAACAAACAAGCAAAAAAAAAAACCTAATAATGAAAATTCTACTGCTTAACTTAGTCTCCCTGTTTTTTAACTTTCTGTTGTTTCTGTGTATATCTTATTGTACTGACTACATTTTGAAAAGTTGTTGTAGTTACTGTTCGATTGGTTTATTGTTTAGTCTTTCTTTTTGCAATAAGAGTAGTTTACACACCACAGTTCTGATATTATAATGTTTTGTGTTTTTCTGTGTACTTACTATTACCGGTGAGTTTTGTGCCTTCAGGTGATCACTCATTAATTAATGTCATTTTCTTTCTAATTGAAGTACTCCCTTTAGCATTTCTTGTAGCTCAGTTCTGTTGTTGATGAAATCCCTCAGCTTCTGTTTGTCTGGGAAGATCTTTATTTCCCCTCATGTTTGAAGGATATTTTTGCCAGATGTACTATTCTAAAGTATGTTTTTTCTCCAGTGCTTTATATATGTCATGCCACTTTTTCTTGGCCTGTAAGGTTTCCACTGAAATGTCTGCTGCCAGGTGTATGGGAGCTGCACTGTATGTTTTGTTTTGTTTTTTCTCCCTGCTTTTAGAATTCTTTCTTTATCCTTAAACTTTGGGAAAATTAAATGTCTTGAGATAGTCTTCTTTGAGTTAAATCTGCTTAGTGTTTTATAAACTTCTTGTACATGGATATCGATAACTTTAGATTTGGGAAATCTTGTCATTTTTTCTTTGAAAAAGCATTCTAACCTTATCTCTTTCTCTGCCTCCTTTTGAAGGCTCTTATATTTGCCCTTTTGAGGATATTTGCTACATCCTGTATGCATGCTTCATTGTTTTTTATTCTGTTTTCTTTTGTCTCTTTTTACTGTATATTTTCAAATAGCCTGTATTCAAGCTCACTAATTCTTTCTTCCACTTGCTTAATTTTGCTCTTAAAGGACTCTGATGCATTCTTTACTATGCCAGTTGCATTTTTCAGCTCCAGAATTTCTGCTTGATTCTTTTTAATTATTTCAATTTATTTGTTAAATTTATCTGATAGAATTCTGAAATTCTTCTCTGTGTTATGCTGAATTTCTTCGAGTTTCCTCAAAACAGCTAGTTTGAATTAGTTGGCTGAAACATCTTTGTTTCTCCAGGCTGGGTCCTTGATTCCTTATTTAGTTCATTTGTTGAGGTCATGTTTTCCTGAATGGTGTTGATGCTAGCAGATGTTCTTCAGTGTCTGGATATTGAAGAGTTAGATATTTATTGTATTCTTCACTGTCTGGGCTTATTTGTGGCCATCCTTCTTGGGAAGGCTTTCCAGATATTTGAATGAACTTGGGTGTTTCGATCTAAGCTGCATTTGTTTTAGAGGGCACCCAATACCCAATAATGCTGTGGTTCTTGCACACTCATAGAGCTACTACCTTAATGGTCTTGGACAAAATCTGGCAGAATTCTTAGGCAGATACTCAGGTTTTCTTCTCTCACTTTCTTCCAGAGTCTCTGTGTCTGTTCTGAGCCACATAAAGCTGGGGGTGAAGTGACACAAACACCACTGTGGCCACCCCTACTATGACTGTGCTGGATCAGACCTGAAGCCAGCAGAGAAGTGGGTCTCATCCAAGGCTGGATGTAACCACTTCCAGGCTTACTACCTATGTTTAGTCTAGGCCCTGGGGCTCTACAATCAGCTGGTGGCAAGGCCAGCCAGACCTATGTCCTTCCTTTCAGGGCAGCAAGGGTCCCCAGGCCCTGGGTGGGTACAGAGGTGCCATTCAGTAGTCAGGGACTAGAGTCAAAACTTTAGAAGTCTACCTGGTGTTATATTGTACTGCAGCTGAGCTGGCACTGAAACTGCAAGTTATAGTCCTTCCCACTCTTCCCTCTGCTTTCCAATGGCAGAGGAGCTTCACCTCATAGCCACACCCACCCACCCATTGCAGGCCATGAGGAGTACTGCAAGACTACTGCAGATGTTCCCTTAAGGCTCAAGGGCTCTAAAGTCAGGTTGTGGAGAATGTTGTCTGGCCTGGGATTCACCCTTTGGGGTAGTATGCTTTCCTCTGGCCCACAGGATGTCCAGAAATGCTGTCCAAGATTCAAGTCCTGGAATTGAGGATCCCAAGAGCCTGTTTAGTTCTTTAACCCTCTGTGGCTATGCTAGTACTTGAAGCTAGCAAACTTCTTAAGCTCACCCAAGGCCCTTGATATAGTACCTGGGTATTGCTATTGGTTCTTTGGGGCCCAACGGCTGTTCAGTGAGCAGGTAATAAATGCTGCCAGGTCTGGGTCCTTTCCTTCAAGGCAGCATGTTCCCTTCTCACCCAGGCTGTGTCTACAAAACTTATCTGGGAGCTCAGGCCTGGAATGGTGGCCTCATATTTGACCAGTGCCCTACCCTGCTGTGGCTGAACTAGTATCCTAGGTGCAATACAAAATTCTCACCATTCTTTCTCTCCTCTCCTCAAGTTGAAGGAAGGAGACCCACGCTGAGGGGCTTGGGAATGAAAGTTGCCAGCACTCCCTTGCCTGCCCCAACTGGTATCTCAGTGTGTCACGTGCCCCCCAGTGCACTGTCTCTGGGTCTAGTTCAGCACTAGGACTCACCTAAGATTTGCAGTCCTTATGGCCTAGACTGCCTTTCAAGTTCACTTGGAGACACAGAGCACTATTATAGCCCTTGATGGTGAGGTTTGTGGGAACTTAAGTTTGGATGACTGGGATTGGTGATTTGCCTCTGGCTAGGCCTGGTTTAAATGTTCCCTCCATGTGCGGGCATCAGCTGAGTTTGGTCTTGTTTTCCTTTGCTCTCTAACAGGGCACCACTGAGTTCAATGCCTCACAATTGCTGTCTTCTCCTTCCCCCAGCACCCAGAGATACTCTCTGCATCACGCAGCAGCTGCCAAGGGTGGAAAAGGTGATGCTGGCAATTCAGGACTGTTTTTTCTATCTCTACAAGGCCTCTTTAAATGATATGAAGTTAAAACTAGGTACTACGCGTGCTTACCTGATTTTGGGTTCTTATGAAGGTTTTTTTTTTTTTAATTTTAATTTTAATTTTTTTTTCCTGTGTAGATAGTTGTTTAATGGGTGTCCTTGTGATGGGGGATGATGTGTGGAAACTTCTATTTTACCATCTTGCTCCCTGTACTAGTTTTCAAGATGCTATCACTTTATATTTCATAAGTCTTTCAGTCACTGCCTTCATCTCCATCACCTTTACATATCCACATCTACTGTTGCTATCTTCACTCTTGCCCTAGAAAAATTCAGTATAGTTTAGTCTAAAACGTTAATAAATTATTTTATCACTGGAGTGTAAAATATAAATTTATTCATTATTTATTAATTTTCTCAATAAACATTTCTGAGAAACTGTTTTCCAGAAAACAGGCTGCACATACAGAACAATTACTAAGAGAGAAAAAGCATCTCAGAATATGCAGGGTTTTTTTTTTTAAGCAACAGGCTGTGATATTTTAAATAACCATTCCATTTATGTTATCTTGCATTATTCACTTCATCACTCCTATAAAGCCATAAATTTCAAGCAGGAAGCAGCTGACACATTTCTTGTCATTTAGTAAACCCATGATTGTACCTCCTTATGTGATCAGCCACTTAATTGCACTACTTTACAAAAGCACCTCCACAGAAAGAGTTTCATTTGAAGTATTTTAAAAACCTCTTTAAAAAATGATCGCACTCAAATAACTAGATATTTAAATTTAGGGGAAAAGGTATTTAGAGTTCTACCCTCATCCCAATTGGATTGCCTCAGTGATCATCTGAAATTGTTATTTGAATTCTTAAATCTAAGCATGACTTCTTTGGCGTTATTTTTAACATATTTCTAAAATCATTATTATTAATACTATTAGAGACTTTGCCTTGTGCAAACAAACAGCAATGAATGATTTTATTGTTCTAAAACAATTCTTTCTGGTTGAGGGGTGGTGGGTGGACCTGAGGCTAGTAATATCTCTGTAGCTGCAAAAACCTCTCTTTAGATCTCTTTGATGTCTACATGAAAGTTTTGAATAAATTATCCAAATAATAGCATATATTTTCTTGACTGACAAGTGTAAGTGTAGTGCCCACACACATTTCTTATGGGTGAAGAGCCTTATATGTACAACATAGGCACGTTTAGAATTTGCAAACAGAAGTTTACCAATGACTATTTGAAAATACATTGCTCTCTCGTGATAATAATTATAAATTATTTTATCTCTAAAATATAGGTACAGATATGTAATAAATGTAGTATTTTAATTGTTTTCATTTGTTTTTACTTTAAAGATAAAAACTTTTATTAAATATAGAAAATGTATTACAATATATGATATACTATCTTAGAATATAGCAAAAAAGGTCTGTACATGCTTTTTGCGCTACTCTTCTGTCTTGATAATACACTTTTGCAAGACTCACTATAGATTCAAAAACATACTTTCAGTCTTTCACTTATGATGAGGATGTAGAAAATCACCAGAGACAGATGTTTCCAGCCTAACAATGATAACAAGCTAGGGAAGCTAAACCATCAGATATCTTTTCAACACATAAGAGAGTTACTGAAGCAAAGGATTTAAAATTAACTAAATTTCAGAAAGTTGCAAGTCTTTCTTAGAAGATTCTCACAGCTGTATTCATCCCTGGTAAAGAGATGGGAATATTCTTAACCCAGGGGAATTATCTTAAGGATGAAAAACTCAATAAATTGCTCAAATAGTCCAGAAATAGAAACACATATATTTGGCAAAATAATTGAAAAGATACTCCTACAAAGAAGATACATAATTTGCCAATAATTCCATAATAAGATGCTCAGTATAATTGTTGGACTCGTCATTCTTTTTTAGTAATTCTAGTGAGTGAGAAAATGGATCAGAAGGTGGTTTTAATTTGCATTCTTCTTCTGATCAATAATGCTTTTCATGTGTTTTTTGACCTATATTTCTTATTTCTTAAAGTGTCCATTCAAGTCTTTTGACCATTGTGTTTGTTGTATTGTCTACCTTTTTATTGTTGGCTTATTTAGGTCTTTATATCTTCTGCACATGGGTTCTTTGAAATACAAATATGTGTATATTTATGTAGCATATATTATACATATTAGTTACATATGTACAGCAAATTATTCTCGACTGAAGTTTGCTTATTCATTTTCTTAATGCTATCTTTAGACAAAAATTTTTTTCTTTTGATTAAGTACAAATCATTTTTTTATGGTCAAAACTTTTTTAGATATTTTATTTATGAAAACTTTGCCTATCTTAAGTTTATAAAGATATTCTTTATGTATTCTAATATGCTTCTTTATAGAATTGTTGTAAGTCTAACTTTTACTTTTTAGCCTATTATTTATCTTAAATTAACTTTTTATGTATGGAATCAAGAGTTGGTTCATTTTTTTCCTGCACCATTTTTGAGAAAATTAATTTTTTCCATTGATTTTATTCTTTCTTTGTTGAAAATCAAAGTAGAGAGACAATGTTGAAAACTCAGAGAACTCATAAATATCTTACCCTAGTGGAAAGTCTAAGTTAGCTCCAGAGTAAAACCTTTCTTAGACCAACCTTAACAAGCTTAAAAACAACTGAAAAGGATCAAGCTATTCCATGATTAGTTTAACCATGAGTTAAGATAAAATTCAATACTCATTGAGAAAACACAATATTAAGACACTAAAAAGCATAAGATTTACAATTCATCAAATCTATATTCCCAATGCATGAGAAGCAGAAAATTTTGATTCACAATCAAGATAAAAATCAATACACATAGATTTAGAACTGACAGACATCATAGGAAGTGCAGAAAAGAACTTAAACACTTATTATAAATACTATAAATAGCCTCCATAAATTAAAAATATAGTGAGAAAGAAAAAGGAAACTGCTGAAAACAAACCAAATACAATTTCTGGGGCTGAAAAATACATTATCTGAAGAAGAAAAAAAATGAGATGGGATTAACAATAGATTAGATATAGCAAAAAGAGTGTTCAGCAAATTTAAAGCTATACCCACAAGCATCATTTAAACAGAAGCACAGCAGAAGGAAAAGCCTGAAATAAAAGTAAATCAAACATCATTGACAGGGAGCATTATAGGGCAGTTTAATGTATAATAGGTTTATGAGAAATAAAGAGGGCAGAAACAAAAAAAAAGAGAGAGAGAAAATAATGTCCAAACATTTTAAAAATGTAATAACTACAAACTCACAGATCTAATTTTCTCAACAAATCCTGAATAGGATAAGCACAGTGAAAACCACACCACACAAATCATTATAAAATCTATAAAATCCAATAATACATAAAAATCAAAAATAGGCAAAAATAAATATGAAAACACAAAATTTTAAAAATTACATTTTTTCTCAGCAGAAATAATGCAAGTAAGTAACAAAAATAGCTTGACTTAAAGAATGCAAATAAGCAACAATTTTTAAAAACATTAGAGTATTATGCACAGAAAATACCCTTCAAAAATTAAGATATAATAAAATATTTTTCAGACAAAACTAAGCTGAGAGAATTTATTACCAGAAGTTTTTTTTGCAACAAGAAATGTTAAAGTCAATTTTTCAGGTTGAAGGAAAATTATACTAGATATAAAGTTATATATAAAGATATAAAAAAATTCAAAAATGGTAAATTTATGAGTAAATATAACCAAAGAACTTTCTTACATTTAATTTTAAAGCAAAAATAATAATAGTATTTATTTTTTAAAAAGTCAAACTAAAATTTACTACACAAAGGAATGTATACAGTTTCAAAGTTCTAATATTGTTGATTGATACAGTATCTTTAAATATAGACTGTGATAATCTAAAGATTCTTATTTTAAACTCTAGAGCAATCACTAAAAATACAAAACTAAGAGGCATAGCTAACAGCTAAGAGTGGAGGTAAAATTAAGCCATAAGAATTCTTGATTCAGTCAGAGGTAGCAGAAAAAATAAAAACTAACAAAGAACAGATGGAGCAAATAAAATAATAGACATATCCTCATTACATTACAAGTAAGTGGTTTAAACACTCCAATTAAAAGGAAGAAATTGTCCGGTTTGATTTTTAAAAGCAAAATTCAATTATATTCTTTTACAGGAATTACACAAGACAGAGATAGTTTAAAACTAGAAAGATATAGTAAGAGATCATAAAAATGACAGTTATTAGAGGCCTGTAGTTACTATATTATTATAAGGCAAACTAGAACCTAGAATGAGGAATATTTTAAGAGACATAAACATATTTGATGATAATAATATGTATACTTCATTAATAGTACATAATTGTTAAATGCATGTGCATCTAAGAGAACATCAACCCACATTAAACAATATGTTTAAAATAAAAGGAGAAATAGACAAATCTGCAACTGTAAATAGAAATGTAAATAGAAATGCAACATCTCTCTCAGGGTTGATATGACAAGTTGAAAAAAATATGTGAAGCAACAACTGTCAGAACTGAAAATGAACACAGACAAATACAAAATTATAGTTTGAGACTTCAACACCCCTCTCTCTGTAAGAATACTGAAACCTGAAGTAATAACTAAAGGGATGTAATTAACATTAGAATACTATCCTTAATAAAGTGGAGTGCATATTATTTTTCTTGCACAGATGGAATATTCACCACTCAGACTATATACTGTGACAGAAAACACACATGCTTAATATGTTTTAAATATTGAAACCAAAGTACTACTCAGATAAACATACAATTAAATTAGAAATCAGTTTATAAGATACCTAAAATGTTCACAAAACAATTCTAAATAACTCATGGCTTAAAGAAAAATTATAAACAAAATTACAGATTTTTTAATAAAAACTGAATGATAATATTGATATATCTTACATATCAAAATGCAAAATATAGCTTAAGCAGAGGGAATACATTGTTTTAAATGCTTATATAGCAAAAAAGAACAATCTTAAAGAAGAGACATCACTATAGATATTAGAGGCATAAGAAATATAATAAAGTCATGCAATTTGGTAACCATATACTAAAGTTGGATTGATACAGAGACAATTAGTATGGCTTCTGTGTAAGGATACACACAAATTTGTGGAGAATGTTCTATATCTTTGAGAACTCACACAGGCCACATGGAAAACATTAATTAATCTTTGATATAATTAAAAATGATATTGTTCTTTCATATTTTCCAATTTTTTATTGTTGGTATAGAGTTGGTTTATATATGAATATTTATTTTTAGAACAGTTTTAGACTTCTAGAGAAAATTTAAAGATAGTTTTAAAAGTTACCATATATCCCTCAACCAGTTCTTCCTATTAATAGCACTTTACATTAGTATCATACATTCGTTGGGATTGATGAGCCAATAGTGAGGCACTATTAGATAAAATTCATACTTTATTAAGATTTTCTTAGTTTTCACCTAATATTTTTTTTCTGCTTCCAGATCCCAACCAAGATACCACATTACATTTAGTTGTCATGTTCCCTTAGTCTCCTCTTGGTTGTAATTGTTTCTTAAATTTCCTTTGTTTTTGATGACCCTGGCAGCATAGAGGAGTACTACTCATCAAGTATTTTGTAGACTGTCCCTCTGTGAGCATTTATTTGATTTTTTTCTTTTTTCCTGATTAGATGGAGGTTATGGGTATGTGGGAGAAAGTCCACGTAGGTTAAGTGCTATCGTTTTAATCACATCTTATTGAGCATATGCATTCCTAGCAAATGACATCACTGTTGATATGACAAAGATTCTTTCCTTAACCAAACTAGTCAAACTCCTCTGAGACCTATATCTGACTAAGCGTGAACCTTAGCCTATAAAAATTAGATTCTAAACACAAATGATTTCATCCACCTTTGCATTTTACATTAAAAGAAAAACAAAGACTAGCATAGTCTCTAACAGCAGGAGGCTGCATCTCTAGAATTACCCTAAACTCTTTAAAGTGTCTACCTGCGAAAACTTAAGTCTGCTCTTCCCTGAAAAGGTCATATAGGCAAAGTGACCTTCAAATGCCCAAGGGGCCAAACAACCGAAGAAGGAGGCAGATAAATCCAGTTTGTTGGTATTGGTGGTTTTATTGACTGAACTTGCTGTCAGAAATGGGGTCTTGGGTGGCAGCAAGACGGGTAGATCTCTGCACCATTATTCCCCAGACCCAGTGCTTATATCCCATAGGGAAAGAGTATACCTGCTCTAGCAAGACAATTAAAGGCAACCCAGCAGGAAAGATGGTATGTGCATGATAGCCTATACTGTGTGATAACATTAAGGTTGACTTATGTTTACACCAGAGACAGTAAATAAAGTAGAAACCAGGAGGCATTCCCAGGGATAGGGGTAATCAGAAGTCAACACGGTGGATTAGCTCCAAGGCAGAGTCACCTTTTTCTCCACAGCTACAAAAAAATATTGTTTCTTCTAGCCAACATCTGACTATACACTCCAACCACTCTTCTTAGATCATTTACTAAAAAGGGCTTAAATGGGAATCTTTTCTCTGTACCTTTCAAATGTATATGTGTCTCCTACAACTCAGGAATGTCTTTCTCAAGGACCTGAAAGCTATTTTTTTTTTTTTAATGGAATCAACCAGGAGGGATAGGGCCTCTGTCTCCCACTCTCTTTGGGAGGATAGAATTCTAGCTTCGGTAATTGACTGCCAGCCAATAGACAAAGCTGGCCTAACCATAATTCACACTAACCAACTCTTCATATATATTTTTTTACTTCCTTGACTTTACTGAGCCCTGTCTGCCCCCTCTCTTTACTCTCTCATTCTCACTTTAAAGTACCCAGTGACCTCTGTATAAATCAAAGATGAGCTCAGTCCACACTAAACCCTCTTTCCAGTAATAGTAAATTACTTTTCAGTAATAGTAAATTACTAATTAAAATCTGTCCTTACCACTTTAGCTAGGATCTGGCTTTGTTCATCTTTCACTGATAGCACTTTGATCACTTCACTGAAATAGTGTTTATGAAGTTTTCTGAGTGTAAAGTTAGTCTTTTCTCCCCTCCTTTCCACATTGTACCCTTGGGAAGGAAGTCACTATACACAGCCCATATTTAAGGAGTAGGGAATTATATTTCACCTCCATGACAGTGATGGATCAATATAAATTGGAAATCCTCTGCATAGGAGATTTGTCTCTTCTCGCCAATATTTATTTATTCACTCATGTATTTATATCAATATGGACTCCTTCACATTGATTTTGCACTTTGGTTTGTAATCTAATACTATATATTTTACTTATTTAGTTTTTGCTTACATTGTTTCAGTTTTGGCTCTGTGTGCATCTGACATACTCCCATTATCAGGGGTGGTGTTTGTTAGTTTGAGTACTTCTTTACTTTTATTTTTGTCACTACAAGATGCTCCAGACTCATCTTCTATATTTTTTGTTCCAGTCCTAGAATCAGTCACTTTTTAAGAAGTTCTGTTTTCTTTTATTAGACAATGGTATTTGAAACCAAGATCTGGGAGCTAGGTGTGCATACCGTTGACTTATGTATTGGCCTTCTAGCCCTTGAATTGGCTAATCACAGATATTAGTTCTGGAGTATTTCATGTGTATTCCTTAGAATTTTCAACACAAATAACCATATTGTCTGTCATAAGTTCTTTGTAGATTCTGTGTATTAGCCCTCTGTCAGATGTATAGATTGCAAAAATTTTCTCCAATTCTGTAGGTTGCCTGTTAACTCTGATGATAGTTTCTTTTGCTTTGCAGAAGCTCTTTAGTTTAATTAGATCCCATTTGTCAGTTTTGGCTTTTGTTGTCATTGCTTTTGATGTTTTAGACATGAAGTCTTTGCCCATGCCTATGTTCTGAATGGTATTCCCCAGGTTTTCCTCTAGGGTTTTTATGATTTTAGGTCTTATGTTTAAGTCTTTAATCCATCTTGAGCTAATTTTTGTATAACGTGTAAGGAAGGGGTCCAGTTTTAGTTTTCTGCATATGGCTAGCCAGTTTTCCCAACACCATTTATTAAATAGAGAATCTCTTCCCCATTGCTTGTTTGTGTCAGGTTTGTCAAAGATCAGATGGTTGTAGATATGTGCTGTTATTTCTGAGGCCTCTGTTCTGTTCCATTGGTCTATATATCTGTTTTGGTACCAGCACAATGCTGTTTTGGTTACTGTAGCCTTGTAGTATAATTTGAAGTGAGGTAACATGATGCCTCCAGGTTTGTTCTTTTTGCTTAGGATTGTCTTGGCTATGTGGGTTCATTTTTGGTTCCATATGAAGTTTAAAGTAGCTTTTTCTAATCCTGTGAAGAAAGTCAATGGTAGCTTGATGGGGATAGCATTGAATCTATAAATTACTTTGGGCAATATGGTGATTTTCATGATATTGATTCTTCCTATCCATGAGTATGGAATGTTTTTCCATTTGTTTGTGTCCTCTCTTATTTCCTTGAGCAATGTTTTGCAGTTCTCCTTGAAAAGGTCCTTCACATCCCTTGTAAGTTGTATTCCTAGGTATTTTATTCTCTTAGTAGCAATTGTGAATGGGAGTTCACTCATGATTTGGCTCTCTGTTTGTCTGTTTTTGGTGTATAGGAATGCTTGTGATTTTTCACATTGATTTTGTATCCTCAGACTTTGCTGAAGTTGCTTATCCACTTAAGGAGATTTGGGGCTGATAAGACTGAGTTTTCTATATATACAATCATGTCATCAGCAGACAGAGGCAATTTGACTTCCTCTCTTTCTATATGAATACCCTTTATTCTTTCTCTTGCCTGTTTGCCCTGGCCAGGACTTCCATTGCTATGTTAAATAGCAGTGGGGAGAGAGGGCATCCTTGTCTTGTGCTGGTTTTCATAGGGAATGCTTCCAGTTTTTGCCCATTCAGTATGATATTGGCTGTGGGTTTGTCATAAATAGCTCTTATTATTTTGAGATACGTTCCATCGATACCTAGTTTATTGAGAGTTTTTAGCATGAAGGAGTGTTGAATTTTGTCAAAGGCCTTTTCTGCATCTATTGAGATAATTATGTGGATTTTGTTATTGGTTCTGTTTATGTGATGGATTATGTTTATTGATTTGTGAATGTTGAACCAGCCTTGCATCTCAGGTATGAAACCGACTTGATCATGGCAGATAAGCTTTTTGATGTGCTGCTGAATTCAGTTTGCCAGTATTTTGCTGAGGATTTTCGCATCGATGTTCATCAGGGATATTGGCCTGAAGTTTTCCTTTTTTGTTGTGTTTCTGCCAGGTTTTGGTACCAGTATGATGTTGGCCTCACAAAAATGAATTTGGGAGGATTCCCTCTTTTTCTATTGTTTGGAATAGTTTCAGAAGGAATGGTACCACTCCTCTTTGTACCTCTGGTAGAATTTGGCTGTGAATCCATCTGCTCCTGCACTTTTTTTGGTTGCTGGCTATTAATTACTGTCTCAATTTCAGAACTTGTTATTGACCTATTCAGGGATTCTACTTCTTCCTGGTTTAGACTTGGGAGGGTGTATGTGTCCAGGAATTTATCTATTTCTTCTAGGTTTTCTAATTTATTTGCATGGTGATGTTTATAGTATTCTCTGATGGTAGTTTGTATTTCTGTGGGATCAGTGATGAAATCCCCTGTATCATTTTTTATTGCATCTATTTTATTCTTTTATCTTTTCTTCTTTATTAGTCTGGCTAGCGGTCTATTTTGTTAATCTTTTCAAAAAACCAGCTCCTGGATTCATTGACTTTTTGAAGTGTTTTTTATGTCTCTATCACCTTCAGTTCTGCTCTGATCTTAATTATTTCTTGTCTTCTGCTAGCTTTTGAATTTTTTTGCTGTTGTTTCTCTAGTTCTTTTAATTTTGATATTAGAACATTGATTTTAGATCTTTCCCACTTTCTTCTGTGGGCATTTAGTGCTACAAATTTTCTTATAAACACTGTTTTAGCAGTGTCCAAGTGATACTGGTACACTGTGTCTTTGTTCTCGATGGTTTCAAAAAACTTATTTGTTTCTGCCTTAATTTCGTTATTTCCCTAGTAGTCATTCAGGAGCAGGTTGTTCAGTTTCCAGGTAGTTGTGCAGTTTTGAGTGAGTTTCTTAATCCTGAGTTCTCATTTGATTGCAGTGTGGTCTGAGATGCTGTTTGTTTTGATTTCCTTTATTTTGCATTTGCTGAGGAGTGTTTAACTTCCAATTATGTGGTCAACTTTAGAATAAGTTTGATGATATGCTGAGAAGAATGTATATTCTATTCATTTTGGGTGGAGAGTTCTGTAGATGTCTATTAGGTCTGCTTGGTCCAGAGCTGAGTTCAAGTCCTGAATATGCTTGTTAATTTTCTGTCTGGTTGATCTAACATTGACAGTGGGGTGTTACAGTCTCCCACTATAATTGTGTGGAAGTCTAACTCTCTTTTAGGTCTCTAAGAACTTGCTTTATGAATCTGGGGGCTCCTGCATTGGGTGCATATATATTTAGGATACTTAGATCTTCTTGCTGCATGGATCCCTTTACCATTATGTCATGCCCTTCTTTGTCTCTTTTGATCGTTGTTGGTTTAAAGTCTGTTTTATCAGAGATTAGGATTGCAACTCCTGCTCTTTTTTTGCTTTGCATTTGCTTGGTAAATATTCTTCCATCTCTTTATTTTGAGCCTATCTGTGTCTTTGCACATGAGGTGCATCTTCTGAACATGGCATACTGATGGGTCTTGACTTTTTATCCATTTTGCCATTCTGTGTCTTTTAATTGGGGCATTTAGCCCACTTACATTTAAGGTTAATATTGTTATGTGTGAATTTGATCCTGTCATTATGATGCTCGCTGGTTGTTTTGCCCATTACCTGATGCAGTTTCTTCATAGTGTCACTGTTCTTTACAATTTGGTATGTTTTTGCAGTGCCTAGTACCAGTTGTTCCTTTCCATGTTTAGTGCTTCCTTCAGTAGCTATTGTAAGGCAGGCCTAGTGGTGACAAAAATCTCTCAGCATCTGCTTGTCTGTAAATGATTTTATTTCTCCTTTGCTTATGAAGCTTAGTTTGGCTGAATTTGAAATTCTGGGTTGAAAATTCTTTTCTTTAAGAATGCTGAATATTGGACCCCACTCTCTTCTGGCTTGTAGGGTTTCTACCGAGAGATCTGCTGTTAGTCTGATGGGCCTCCCTTTGTGGGTAACCCGACCTTTCTCTCTGGCTGCCCTTAACATTTTTTCCTTCATTTCAACTTCAGTGAATCTGATGATTATGTGTCTTGGGGTTGCTCTTCTCAAGGAGTATCTTTGTGGTGTTCTCTGTGTTTCCTAAATTTGAATGTTGGCCTGTCTTGCTAGGTTGGGGAAGTTCTCCTGGATAATATCCTGCAGAGTGTTTTCCAACTTGGTTCCATTCTCCCTGTCACTTTCAGGTACACCAATCAAACTTACATTTGGTCTTTTCACATAGTCCCACGTATGTTGGAGGCTTTGTTTGTTCCTTTTTATTCTTTATTCTCTAATCTTGTCTTCTCACTTTATTTCATTAAGTTGATCTTCAATCACTGATATCCTTTCGTCTACTTGATTGATTCAGCTATTCATACTTGTGTATGCTTCATGAAGTTCTCATGCTGTGTTTTTCAGCTCCATCAGGTCATTTATGATCTTCTCTATCCTGTTTATTCTAGTTAGCAATTCGTCTAACCTTTTTTCAAAGTTCTTAACTTTCTTGCATTGGGTTAGAATATGCTTTTTTAGCTCAGAGGAGTTTGTTATTACCCACCTTCTGAAGCCTACTTCTGTCAATTCGTCAAACTCATTCTCCATTCAGTTTTGTTCCCTCGCTGGTGAGGAGTTGTGATCCTTTGTAGGAGAAGGGGCATTCTTGTTTTTGGAATTTTCAGCCTTTTTGTGCTGTTTTCTCCCAATCTTTGTGGATTTATCTACCTTTGGTCTTTGATGTTGGTGGCCTTCAGATGGGGTCTTTGAGTGAGCATGCTATTCTTTTCTGTTTGTTAGTTTTCCTTGTAACAGTCAGGCCCCTCTGCTGCAGGTCTGCTGGAGTTTGCTGGAGGTCCACTCCAGACCCTGTTTGCCTG